>NC_000022.11:32345927-32497442 GCF_000001405.40 Homo sapiens
ACAAGAGTTCTTCCTTTTCTCCAAGAAAAGGCTAAAACATTAGTCATCTCTACTTTCCAAGCTACTGGAAACAGAATAACATACATTAAAAAATACAAAGGAAAACTCCCTCCAATACAGATCTGCTAGAGGTAGAAATTTAAAGCAGGATATACTGTTTAAGCTCCATCTATCAGGGAACAAAATTGGTATTAATCTGAAATTACATGATGGCTGCGGCTTACAATACTGAAGACACAGACCATAGGCAGCAATTTATCCCTGAATTTCATAATCAATATTGCCAACATTAATACCATTATGACAGTTTTTCCTAGTACATAATTGTTTTAATGAAAAAAGTGCTTGCTTTCATAATCCAGATAATCTAAAGAAAAGATATTATTGTCGCTACCAATGACTTTCTTCACAGAATTGGAAAAAACTACTTTAAGTTCATATGTAACCAAAAAAGAGCCCACATCGCCAAGTCAATCCTAAGCCAAAAGAACAAAGCTGGAGGCATCACGCTACCTGACTTCAAACTATACTACAAGGCTACAGTAACCAAAACAGCATGGTACTGGTACCAAAACGAGATATAGACCAATGGAACAGAACAGAGCCCTCAGAAATAACGCCACATATCTGCAACTATCTGATCTTTGACAAACCTGAGAAAAACAAGCAATGGGGAAAGGATTCCTTATTTAATAAATGGTGCTGGGAAAACTGGCTAGCCATATGTAGAAAGCTGAAACTGGATCCCTTCCTTACACCTTATACAAAAATCAATTCAAGATGGATTAAAGACTTAAACGTTAGACCTAAAACCATAAAAACCCTAGAAGAAAACCTAGGCATTACCATTCAGGACATAGGCATGGGCAAGGACTTCATGTCTAAAACACCAAAAGCAATGGCAACAAAAGACAAAATTGACAAATGGGATCTAATTAAACTAAAGAGCTTCTGCACAGCAAAAGAAACTACCATCAGAGTGAACAGGCAACCTACAAAATGGGAGAAAATTTTCGCAACCTACTCATCTGACAAAGGGCTAATATCCAGAATCTATAATGAACTCAACCACATTTACAAGAAAAAAACAAACAACCCCATCAAAAAGTGGGCGAAGGATATGAACAGACACTTCTCAAAAGAAGACGTTTATGCAGCCAAAAGACACATGAAAAAATGCTCATCATCACTGGCCATCAGATAAATGCAAATCAAAATCACAATGAGATACCATCTCACACCAGTCAGAATGGCGATCATTAAAAAGTCAGGAAACAACAGGTGCTGGAGAGGATGTGGAGAAATAGGAACACTTTCACACTGTTGGTGGGACTGTAAACTAGTTCAACCATTGTGGAAGTCAGTGTGGAGATTCCTCACGGATCTAGAACTAGAAATACCATTTGACCCAGCCATCCCATTACTGGGTATATACCCAAAGGATTATAAATCATGCTGCTATAAAGACACATGCACACGTATGTTTATTGTGGCACTATTAACAATAGCAAAGACTTGGAACCAACCCAAATGTCCAACAATGATAGACTGGATTAAGAAAATGTGACACATATACACCATGGAATACTATGCAGCCATAAAAAATGATGAGTTCATGTCCTTTGTAGGGACATGGATGAAGCCGGAAACCATCATTCTCAGCAAACTATCGCAAGGACAGAAAACCAAACACCACATGTTCTCACTCATAGATGGGAACTGAACAATGAGAACACATGGACACAGGAAGGGGAACATCACACACTGGGGACTGTTGTGGGGTGGGGGGAGGGGGGAGGGATAGTATTAGAAGATATACCTAATGCTAAATGACGAGTTAATGCGTGCAGCACACCAACATGGTACATGTATACACATGTAACAAACCTGCATGTTGTGCACATGTACCCTAAAACTTAAAGTATAATAATAATAAAATTAAAAAAAGAAAATGAACTCATAACTATAAAATTACCCACAAAAAAAAAATCAATGCCTATTAAAAAACGGTTCAATTTAAAGAACAGAATTCCAGTTCTCAGCTCCAACACTGATCAGCTTCGACAAATCTGTTCCCCTCTCTGGACCTTGTTTTTTGGATACTTCACATGGGGATAATAACAGCATTGACGGCTGGGTTGTGGTGAGAATTAAGGAAGAGAGTCTGCATAGTAAATCCTCCATAAACATGGGCTTCTGTGACTTAGGGTGAGCTCCTGGAGGACAGGGAGGTGTCCCGTTTTTTCCAGGACACCTCCAGGGCCCCACCCCAGGACTTCGCTCTGTGCCAGACACGCAGTAGAAACACAGATTGCTGAAGGAACTGAGTCTCCATTTCTGTGGCTACTGGCCAAAGACCCAGAGAGCCAAGGCAGGCTTCCAGAATGCCCTCCCCACCCAGGCCAACTCTCCTGTGTGTATCCATCTCATTTCCTGGGTAGGTGAGGGCAGAGCAGCAGCCCAGGCCTGGCCTTCTGTGCTGAGTCTGGTGGGGGCCAGCAGCAGCTGCTCCTCCAGGGGAGTGCCTCCCAGTGGAGGCCAGGAAGGAGGGGAGAGCTGGGGGTGGTGGTGTTACCAGAAAAGGGTCCCGATCCAGACCCCAGAGAGAGCTCTTGGATTTCTCAAAAGAAAGAACTCAATATGAAACCAAATTTTATTTTTACGTTAGTACATCTTTAATGTTAAAGCTACTTTTTAATAATAAAATTTTATGAATCTATCCAGTTTTAATTAATGACTATAAGGTAAGATTTTCGTAACTATTTATAACTCTTTATAACATTTTTTCTTGTTAAAGAACTGATCAATGTTCCAAAAAACCCTATTATTTTGACATATGGGCCCAGATTCTGGCTCTGTTTCAGTGCCTTCTGTTTTAATATTTAATTTATGGAAGAACTAAATAATACCCTTTTCATTTTGGTCAACACGCTCAGACACACAATTCTTTACAAAGTTAAGTTTCATAAATGTCCCATAACTTGCTTAAATTTTATTTTCTTTCAGCTAAAAATAATACTTAAAATTTCTAAGTTTAGACAAAACTCTTTGTTGTTGTTGTTTTTTTAAGACAGAGTCTTGCTCTGTCGCCAGGCTGGACTGCAGTGGTGCGATTCGGCTCACTGCAACCTCTGCCTCCCAGGTTCAAGTGATTTCCCTGCCTCAGCCTCCCGAGTAGCTGGGATTACAGGCGTGTGTTACCAGCCTGGCTAATTTTTTGTGTTTTTAGTAGAGACAGGGTTTCACCATTTTAGCCAGGATAGTCTCGATCTCCTGACCTCATGATCCACCCACCTTGGCCTCCCAAGGTGCTGGGATTACAGGCGTGAGCCACTGCGCCCGGCCTTCCCACGCCTTTTTTAAAAAATCAAAAACAGGTAATATTTCTTTTTAGTATAAGCAGTTTTAATTACGTACCAGGTGCAGAGTCTAGGATACAAGACAGAACTGCAGATAAAGTCAACTCTTTCTAGCATAGCTAGGAGGCATGGCTAACTCCACCTGTCCCAGGGCCTTACATAGAAATCTAACAGCTCCAAACCACATAATCTGAACAATTTTCTAAAGTCAAAGAAGTGGTCTATGACATTAAAGCACTTAGCAAATTTAACCTCTGACTTAATTTACACCAAATGTCTAAATTTTGAAGACATTTTCATTTTACCAATAACTTTTAAAAGCCTTTATTCCCCAAAGATTACTGAAATCACATGAACTAAAAGGCATTAGAGCTTCTATTTTTCTTAAGAAGTATTTGAGAGCTTTCATTCTCTTTAAAGCCAGTTAATTAGAACTCCTTTATACAAACATCACACATACAGCACTTCTAGACAAGATTGAGCAGTTCTAAGTTTTTCTTTCCCATATTATGGCTTTCTGACTTGTCCTATATTTCTCTCTTTTTCTAAATAGTCATTCTACTTTAGGACAAGAATTTGTAATACAAAATCCTCCCTCCCATAAAATCTCTTTCCTTCATAACCTTCTTTACCATAAATACACCTTCTTATCCGCAACTTTCTTTAGCTCTCTTTCCCCAACTAATTTCTGATGCCCGCCCTCAACAAAAAGGTCAGCTAAAGCAAGGCAAAACAAAGCAGAGCCTTCCCCAGGTTTTGAGAGGGACCTGTCTGCTTACACTTCTTGGGGGTCCATGAGGAAAACAGAGGCTCCTCCTAAAATGGGGTCTCTGGCACCTTCTGTTTTTCCCAAGGACTCCCAGGCTGCCAGAAATTACCTTAGCTCCTCTCATGTGGCCATCAAGAGTGACAGCAAGACAAAGACTACCGAAATAATTCAGTCAACTGAGAAGAAAAACTTAATACTGCCCCCATTGTAAAGATGGATACGCGGAAGTGCCACGCAGTTTAAAAATTCATGTACACATACAGTTAGGCTCCAAAGCTCACTCAACCATCCTGTAAAAGTCTGCTAACACTACGCCCAGTCACTGATGCACTTGGTATGGTAGCTCATGGCCCCCTTAGAGCTTAGAACCTGGGTTTCATGTCCTCATCTACAGCTATATAATTTAACAATTTTCCTCTGAATTTGTTGGCTTCTACCCCTATATATCTCAAATTGTATTAATATTACTCAATCTTAAAGGAGACTGTGATGCCTTTAGTCTGTAGAAACATTAATCTGTAAACAAATGACTACATGAGGTTAACGGTATTCAAATTTTTTCTATATGCTTTAAAACACTAAGGCTATGTATTGAGAAACACACCTAAGAAACTGCAACCGATCTACTCTGGACAAAAATTTAGACACGTCTTCAAAATAAGCTATATAGTGGTACTTAGGCATATTTTTACACATATCAACAGTATTTTACATATTCATGACCTTAAAAATAATTTTAAAAGTGTAAAAATTATAGACCTTATATATTTGTTGGCTTGAAAAAAATGATACAATATATATTGTTTCCTTAAAGCAGTCAATACAATGCATAAATTTCTAGAGAAATCAGTAAAAAAAAAAAAAGTTCATAACAAAGGTAGTAACATTAGGAATAAAAGAGGGCTCAACACTGCAGGTTCTTAAAGGCAAAAGTTAGTGAAGCATTGTTTTTGGTTGTGAATCTTGCCCTAAAAACATTATAATTCCACATGATCCTCCCCTTCCTTTTCCTGTTGCAACGATGTGATGAACCAAATTTGCTTATGCAGATGACAATACTCTCAGAAAATGGTGGCAGAGAAATAAAATGAAGGGAATATGGTTCTCTTAATGATCTCATACACTGGAACTTATTACCTCCATGCCTCTTGCCTATCTCCAGACTAATATGGGAGAGAGAGAAAATGGCTGTTTGCAACCAATATTTTATTTGACGCTTCATTTTTTGATTCCCCAAATAACTACTTACAACGAATTAACAGGATATGAAAGCACAGCTACTCAAGAATCTAAATAATTATCCAACTGATTTTTTCCTCATCTCTAAAACAATAACGGACCGATCATTTTTAAAATACAACACACTGGGCCGGCGAGGTGGCTCACGCCTGTAATCCAAGCACTCTGAGAGGCTGAGATGGGAAGATCACAAGGTCAGGAGTTCAATACCAGCCTGGCCAACATGGCGAAACCCCATCTCTACTAAAAATACAAAAATTAGCCGGGCACAGCAGTATTCGCTTGTAATCCCAGCTACTCAAGAGGCTGAGGCAGGAGAATTGCTTGAACCTGGGAGACAGAGGTTGCAATGAGCAGAGATCACCACTGCACTCCAGCCTGGGCAACAGAGCAAGATTCCGTCGGGGCGGGGGTGGGGGGCGTGGGGGGAGGGTGGGGGCGGTGGGGGGAGGGCGGGGGGGGGGTGGGCGGGTGGAATACAATGACAAGTCGTCTATTTTTAACTCAGTTTTGGACTGTTGTTTGTTAAGGCCATTGCTTGTGATAAAGAAAACAAAGGGAGGAGGAGGAGAAACAAGAAAGGACACAAGAAATAGAAGCAGCAGCATAAGAAAATGAACAGGAACAAGAAAATGATGATAAGCAGAAGAAAAACCAGGCTGGAAAAAAAGAAAAAGAACAGGTAAGAGAATCAAGGAGACCTATTATACATTTTGTCCCCTTCCTGATTCATGAAATTTAAAAAAGTCCAAGAAAATGTGGCACATATGCACCATGGAATACTACACAGCCATAAAAAATGATGAGTTCATGGCCTTTGTAAGGACATGGATGAAGCTGGAAACCATCATTCTCAGCAAACTATCACAAGGACAAAAAACCAAACATCGTTATGTTCTCACTCATAGGTGGGAATTGAACAATGAGAACACTTGTACACAGGAAGGGGGACATCACATACCAGGGCCTGTTGTGGGATGGGGGGAGGGGGGAGGGATAGCATTAGGAGATATACCTAATGCAAATGACGAGTTAATGGGTGCAGCACACCAACATGGCACATGGATACATATGTAACAAACATGCACGTTGTGCTCATGTACCCCAGAAATTAAAAAAAAAAAAAGTCCAAGACTACCCTGACAAAAAACCAAGCAAAATGATACACAAATAGTTACCCCCCAAACTTCTGTTAATAACATAATGGTGCCACTCACACCTGACTCAGGTGCCAGCAGGAGGAGGGCGCCCTCCAGATTCTGCAGGAGATGCGGGGAAGACTCCTCCTTCCCCTGGCTGCACCTCCACCGCTGTCACAGAGGCCCACAGCTTCCTACCCACCCCAGGCCAGGCAGGGCTGCCCCCCAACGCTCCGACCTGCCTTCCCGGCCCCCAAACTTGCTGCTGCTGCTGCCACAACTAGCACCGATGCTAATACAACTACTACTGCTGTCACCCTCAACGCACAGGCCCACCCTACAAGGCTCCTAACACCTGACCACTGCACTGCCTGTGCCCTGGCGGCAGCCAGCCGCCATCCTACCGCTCTGGTGCTCTTCAGTTTTCATTGCCGCCCTCCTACCACTCCAGCGCTGAGTCTTTAGTCTCCATGGCCGCCACCAACCACAGCGAGGCGAGCGGTGGTGCCACAAGCTCCAGCCTCCAGCAGGCGGCTCCTCCTCCTGGCATGAAACAACTGGGCAGGCAAAGCCAAGAAAGCCTAGAACAGGATGCAGAGAGTGGTAGCGTTAGAGCCTCACCTTGGCATGCTGGCCACTGGATGGCAGAGGCCGGTTTCAGCGAAGGCACTCACGCCCACCCTCCAAAGTCCAGCCTCTCCTTTTGGCCCAAGTTGGCCAGGAACTAGGGCCTGGAGTGGGGACTGGAGACACCACAGTGCCCGGGCTTCCTACTCTACTAGAACCGCTGGGCCCACCCTGGCTGCGTTCCTCGGGAAGCAGGAGCAGCAAAAACTGAACCCCAGCCAGCCCTCCCAACCCTAGTGCTGGTTCCCGTTCCTGACGCCTCCACCCACGGGGCCCTATCACCCCGTAGTGTCAGCTACTGCGTGCCCGGGGGTCCCAGGCAGTTTCCGCAACACATAGAGGGCGCGGGCCTGGGAACCACGGCTGGTCTAGGTGACGGATTGTGCTCAGGATCCCCGCGGAAACGCTGTGCATCCGCCGCGCTCCAGCAGGAGGAGATGGCCCTCTAGAGTCTGGAGTCCGGGGAGACGAGGACCGCTCCTCTGACCACCCGTCACTGACACCACCAGCACCAGGGGGGCAGCGCAGCCCCCAACAGCACCCCTAACCCGCCGCCGGCAGTGTAGCCCCCAGATAGCGCCTCCAACACCTCACCCCCAACCACCGGCAGTGTAGCATCCAATGGCGACCCCAACCTGCCCTTGCTTCGGACACTGCAGCACCCAATGGCGCCCAGAACCCGCCCCCTGCCGCGGGCAGTGCAGCCCGGGATAGCGCCCCCAATCCGCTCCCTGCCGTACACAGTGTAGCCACGAATAGTGCCCCCAACCAGACCCCTGCTGGGGGCAGTAATGCCCTGATATGGCACCCAAACCGCCCCCCAACTGCGGGAAGTGCAACCCCGGATAGTGCCCCAACCTGCTCCCCACTGGGAGCAGCAACCCAGGGAGACGCCCCAACTCACTCCCTGCCTCCGGCAGTACAGCCACAGATAGCGCACCCAACCCACCCCCTGCGCGGGCAAGGTAGCCCCCGATAGCGCACCCAACCCGCCCCGCCGGAACCAATGTGGCCCCAGGTAGCACACCCACCAGCTCCCTGGCACGCAGTACAGACCTCTGATAGCACCCAACCCGCCCCCTCCCAAAACGGGCAGTGGATACGTCCCTCAATAGCGCCCCCAACCAGCCTCCCACCCCCTCTACACGGGCAGTCTGGCCCCCAGTAGCACTCCCAATAAATCCTGCTATCTCTGTCTCAGTGTAGGCCCCAGAAAGCGCCCTCAACACCCCCCTCCCTGCTGCCAACAGTGTAGCACCCTGTAATGAGCCTAACCCGTCCCCCACCACAGCACTGCAGCCCCAGATAGTGCTGCCAACCTGCTCCCTGCTGTGGGCAGTGCAGCTATGGATAATGCCCCCAGCCAGCTTCTAGACGCAGGCAATGATGCCCTGGATATAACACGTCCCGCCCACCGCAGGCAGAGTAGCACCCGATAGCGCCCCCAACCCGTGCCTGACAAGGGCAATGCAACACCCGATAGTTCTTCCAACTCGCCCGCCGGCCACGGCCACTGCATCCCCAGATAGTGCCCCCAGAACTCCCCACTGCCGCTAGCAGTACAGCTTGGGATAGTGCTCCAACCCACCCCCAGCCACGGGCAGCGCACACCCGATAGCACCCCCAACCCACTCCCCTCTGTGGGCAGTGAGGCCCCAGATACCACATCCAACCAGCCTCCTAACACGGGCAGTAACGCCCTGGATAGGGCCTCCAACCCACCCCACCACGCCACGCCACAGGCAGTACGGCCTGGGATGGCGAACTTTTCCCACCACCATTTTACCATTCTGGCTGCGCTCTAGTCTCCCTGGCCCGCACCAACGGCAGCAGCGAGGTGAGCCACGGCAGGCTCCAGCCTCCACTGTGCTAATGAAGTTGCTCCTCCTCCTTTTCCTCTAAGCTTCCAGACTCCAGTGTGCTCAGGAAGTGACTCGTTTTCTTTTTCCTCTAAGCCAGTACTAACCAGCTACACAAGCTGACGCAGGAGAGCTTGGAATGACAAAACTCCCCCCACTTGGCATCATTTATATATGAGAATTTATGCAAATGAAGTTCCTGGGCTACATGTTCTGATTGGATGAGGAAAACCTCTAGGCCTACTCTGATTGGACTTTGTTATCATGTTCTGATTGGTTGTCCTAAGACTTGCTCTCATCCAATCAGAACATGCAAATAAAGCCCAATCAGAGTAGATCTAGAGGTTTTTCTTCTCATCCAATCAGAATATGTAGTCCAAGAACCTCATTTGCATAACCTCGGTAAGGGGAAGTCTCAGTTCCAGGCTCTTCTAGGCTATGTTCTCTGTCTCCACACCTTCCTCTCAGACAGCAGCTGGAGCCCCAGAACCTGGGAGCCTCACAGAGAAAGTCCTGATGTGGGACCTGGTTTTCCACCCGAGACCCAGGATCCAATAAAGAAGTGTTTCCATAAATGATGCATCCTCCAAAGAAGGCCAGTGACTTTCTGTGCCAAGTACCTGACAGAATTGCCATTTCCTAGAGCTGCCAGGCAGCCCTAGGTGCACAGGTCACCTGTGCATGTGTCAGAGACCAAATCCCATCAATATTGAGGCCTTGGTTAAGACAGGTACTTGCTTTTAGTCGTGAAAAGATGCCTGGCTTTGGCAGGAGAATCGCTTGAACCTGGGAGGCAGAGGTTGCAGTGAGCCAAGATTGTGCCACTACACTCCAGCCTGGTGACACAGCGAGACTTTGTCTCAAAAAAAAAAAAAAAAAAAGAAAGAAAAGAAAAGATGGCTGGCTTCAACACTGAGAAAACCAACTCTCCTTGAGCAAATGCTTTGCATATTCTCATAGAAATAAGGGAACACCTATTACCCTCCTTGCACTGCTTCCTGCACAGCTGGGATACTACCTTTCACAAGCATCCTGAGCCACCTGCTGGCCTTTTGTGTGTGTTTCCTTCCTGGCTTCCTCCCATTTTTTTTTCCATCTCTGAACCTGCTGTAAGGTGAAGAATTGAGGCGGGCCCCAAATGTAAGACCTCATGAATTTGACGATGCAACAGTGTCCTGGACAGCCTGGCTCTCAGGGCTGGGGAGCTGGGCAGAGAGAAAAGAGGGCATTCCAGGGGCCAGGGAGCTCCAGGCCCAGAGTAGGATTTCAAGGCTAAAGAAACAGAGGCTGTGGGTGGGTAGAGGGTCTTGACTAGGGTAGGGACAGAGGGTGCGTCTTAAGGCTCAGCTAGGGACAGCTTCATCCAGGAAGTAGTCAGCAATTGGGGGCCAAGCTGCAAGGAGGAAGAGGTGGGGAGAGAGAATGGAGAGAGAGGTGTTCAGTGATCAAATGCCTGGCCTGGCCTGTTTCCTCAGGAGACACCCCTGGGAGTCTGGGAGCCTCTCCCCCGGGCTGCTATCCAACAGGGTGCAAGTAATCCCCCCTTACACACACTAAGAACCCAGGGTGAGTGTCAAATTATATGTTAGCTAAGAAATGAAGAGAGGGAGCAGGATTTCTGGTTGACGGTGAGGATATTTATTAAGGGTTTACTGGTACAAGGAGAGGGGCTGGATGATTTGGGGTGGGAGGGGATCTCTGTTCTGGGATCCTGCAGCTCCAGGCCCCCATGGGTGGGGTGAGGGTCAGGGACCTAAGAACATTCTTCAGGGGCCACTGTCTTCTCCACAGTGCTCTCTTGTGTGTGACCTTACAGCTGTAGCTGCTGCAGGACCTCCACTGGTCGGGTGTCAGGCTCAGGTCGCTTCTGGCTGTGTGCTTGTTGCTCTGTTTGGAGGTCTTGGTGACTTCCGTACCCTGGGTGACAGGGGTGCTGTTTGCCTTCCAGGCCACCGTCACAGCTCCCGGGTAGAAGCCACTCATGAGACACAGCAGTGTGGCCTTTTGGCTTGGAGCTCCTCAGAGGAGGACGGGAACAGAGTGACCAAGGGGGTGGCCTTGGGCTGGCCTGTGGGTGGGCGAGCGGCAGGAGGTCAGCATCCTGTTGTGTACCTGGGAGCCCCCTGACCTCAGTGTATGAAGAGGGGTCAGGCCCCCTCAGTGCCAGTGTAGGACCCCTCAGACATGGTCCACAGTGTCTCAGAAGGGTGTGACATGAGGTTCCTAAAACAACTCTCTGTCATTCAGGGAACCTCCGAGCCTGTCCCCTGCCCACCAGTGGTGGCAGTTAATTTGGTATTCATTTCCAAGGCTGGAGAAGGATGTAATTTTTTTTCTTTTCTTTTCTTTTGGTGAGACAGGGTCTTACTGTGTTGTCCAGGTTGGAGTGACCTGGCGTGGTCTCTGCTCACTGCTAATTTTTGTATTGTTTGTAGAGATGAGGTCTTCCTGTGTTGTCCAGACTCGTCTCAAATTCCTGGGCTCAAGGGATCTTCCTGCCTTGGCCTCGCAAAGTGCTGGGATTACAGATGTGAGCTACTGCATCCAGCCCCCTTTTTTTTTTTTGAGATGGTGTCTCACTCTGTTGCCCAGGCCGGAGTGCAATGGCACAATCTTGGCTCAGTGCAACTTCTGCCTCCCAGGTTCAAGCGATTCTCCTGCCAAAGCCTCCCAAGTATCTGGGATTACAGGCGTGTGCCACCACGCCTGGCTAATTCTTTTGTATTTTCAGTAGAGATGGGGTTTCACCCATCAGGCTGGTCTCGAACTTTTGATGACCTCAGATGATCCACCCACCTTGGCCTCCCGAAGTGCTGGGATTACAGGCATGAGCCATCGTGCCCAGCCTCTCAGCTCCTAATTCTTATGTTCATCAATCAGTCTCTTGCTGGGGTTCCCCTAGGAGGTGGTGAAATGACCCCAGCTCGCTGTTCCTCACATGGGTGCTGCCACGTCACTGGCTCAGGCTCAGCTGCTGGGTCACCAGGAGAATGGACCCTTCCTCCACCTCAGCTCAGAGCACAGTGATGATTCGTGACTTTCCCAATAGAACTTCAAATCTCTGAGGACGGGGGGTGGGGGGATGTGCTTGAGTGTTTGTACTCATGGTCTTGTTCTCGGAGTGACAAAGCTGGAACACAATACCTCTATGCATGAAAAGGTTGTCACTTGTCACAACTAACAGGCTTTCACCTCAAGGAAATTTTCTTCCCTTGTGTACTTTTCCCCTGGCAGTGGACATGGCTGCACTCTTCCAAGAAGCAAGCAGCTGTCCCGTCTGCTCAGACTATCTGGAAAAACCAATGTCCCTGGAGTGTGGATGCACCGTCTGCCTCAAGTGCATCAATTCGCTGCAGAAGGAGCCCCATGGGGAGGATCTGCTTTGCTGTTGCTGTTCCATGGTCTCTCAGAGGAACAAAATCAGGCCCAATCGGCAGCTAGAGAGGCTGGTTTCCCACATCAAGGAACTGGAGCCCAAGCTGAAGAAGATTCTACAGATGAACCCAAGGATGCGGAAGTTCCAAGGTAAGGAATCTGTATACCCTGCCCCCTTCCCAAGACCAGACCAGGAAAAATCATCTGTGCAGTTGGCCCCTCATTCCACATGGGGATTAGCTGCTGTCTGGCACCTAAAATTGAGATGCTTCATCATCACATTCTCAGCCCTGACAACACATAGAATCACCTGGTGATGTCAAAAACAAAAACAAACAAAAACCCGATGTCTATGTCATGGGTTAGACAAGGGATTCTCTAAACTTAGTGTGCTCAGATTACCTGGGGATCTTGTTAAAATGCAGATGCTGAACTGGGAAGTCTCAGGATTGATCCCGCTGGCTTGGGGACTTTGCTGAGTAGCAAAAACATAGAGCAACTGAATTTGAATTTCTCTCTAGCAAAGGTTCCCATGAATCTGACATTAAGATGGGCCTGGTATTTCTAATGCACAGTGAATATTGGCACCCATTGTACCAAACAACCTCACCCCAGGGTTGAGAAGAGTTGGGAATGGAGCACCTATGGTGTTTGTTTCTGTGAGTGGGGAGAGTTGCAGATATTGGTCTCCTCATCCATGCGCCATGGGCTCCAACAGTGGTCCTGGCTACAGAAAATACTATCACTCTCCATAACTCTGGGGAAAAGGGACATTTAAATGAAAAGGTTATGGTCAGCCTGGGCAAAGAATTACACCTATAAATGGTGGTGGGCCCCTATAATGTCCCTGACACTGGTAGCTTCTGCCCTGACACCCATGATCTCTACTCATCCATCTACCCATACCTGACTGTCTCTCTGCTGAACTATGGAGGACAGAGATTCACCCTGTCCAAGTCATGTTTGGAACCCTCTTCCTCCTTCCTTGTCCATGTCCATTCCCTAATTCACCATTAAATAGCAATCAATCCCTAGTCTTGACTAGGGTAGTCTTACTGTGATCTATAAAATCTATATTAGTGATCATATCAGTTTTTTGACTTGAAGGATAATATATTTTGTAGATTTTTTTTTTTCAGAATGTTCTGGACAATTAATTTTCTCTAGGCCAGATCACACTGCCTCCTCCATGAGAATTGGCGGCTTCACCTGTCAGTCACATACCCAATGCCTTAAATTATTGACCTTTGTATTTTCTGCCCTTATTCTCTACAATCAGTCAGTTATGACAGACAACTTTCAAATACCTTTCTCTTGGCTCCAAAATTTACCATTGTTTTGCTTAAGGTCTCACCTTCCATGTAGGATAGAAAACATTCTTTCATCTAAAAGGTCCCCCTCCTCCACCTGGCCTTAGAGCCTCCTAATGTCCAGGACCAGCATCTCTGTCATCACATTGTCAGCTGCAGAGATACCCTATCTGCTGTCAGAACTGTGCACAATTAATTTGTTTACAAACATGGAAAACAAAAGCCTGGAATCATGCTCTATATACTGAATTGGAGCAATAAAATGTGGAAGCAGAAACATATTTAATATTGACCACTTGCATTGTCTTAATTATCATTTATTTGTTCACACATCAAGGTGGTAGAAAGGGGGGCATGGTGTCTGCCTTCAGAGACCCTCCACTCTAAATGAAGAAAAGTTCAGTGAAGCAAACACGTGACGTAAAGTAAAATAAGAATTGCTACTGTGAATAAGAGTCACGTATTGCCACAAAGCATACCTATGAAAATTTGAAATAGGGAAGTTTCCTCATGAAAAGTTTTGATTTTGGAGGAAGAAACAGAATTAAAGAAACTAAAGTCAGGAGATATTTGGGCCTTTGAAGTAGAAGAGAGGCATGGGGTTGGCTTCTGTCCACTTGCTGAGCAACTTGTTTTCCTTTTCACAGTGGATATGACCTTGGATGCCGACACAGCCAACAACTTCCTCCTCATTTCTGACGACCTCAGGAGCGTCCGAAGTGGGCTCATCACACAGAATCGGCAAGACCTTGCCGAGAGATTTGACGTGTCCGTTTGCATCCTGGGCTCCCCTCGCTTTACCTGTGGCCGCCACTACTGGGAGGTGGACGTGGGAACAAGCACAGAATGGGACCTGGGAGTCTGCAGAGAATCTGTTCACTGCAAAGGGAAGATCCAGCTGACCACAGAGCTTGGATTCTGGACTGTGAGTTTGAGGGATGGAAGCCGCCTCTCTGCCAGCACGGTGCCGCTGACTTTCCTCTTAGTAGACCGCAAGTTACAGCGAGTGGGGATTTTTCTGGATATGGGCATGCAGAACGTTTCCTTTTTTGATGCTGAAAGTGGTTCCCATGTCTATACATTCAGGAGCGTCTCTGCTGAGGAGCCACTGCGCCCATTTTTGGCTCCTTCAATTCCACCTAATGGTGATCAAGGTGTCTTGAGCATCTGTCCTTTGATGAACTCAGGCACTACTGATGCTCCAGTCCGTCCTGGGGAGGCCAAATAAGCCGCCACTGCAAAAAAAAACAGGGTCAGAAAATTACTTGGGTGGGTAGACTTAGGAATTTTCTACTTGGTAAAAGCATTATACAGTCATAGGAGAAAGATATGGGACATTTCTATAATCTATATTCTAATTTGATTCGATTATTGAGTCGTAAGTATTAATTATTGCCACCATCCAACTCATTGAGTCTTATGGTTCACATCTTGTTTCCTATAGAAATGTTCTGTATTCTCGGATCAATTTCCAAATGCTTTACTTTTTCATTTCTGTAAGTTCAAATCAATGTTTAAATTATAGAAGTTATGAGGTAAATAAACATTTGGATATCACCTAATGCATCATGTGATTTTCTAAATGATAGGAGTGCAATAGATTTTATTCATAGTAAAAACATGAGTGTGTGTGTATGTGTGTGCGTGTGTGGGTGTGTGTGTATTTGAACGGAGAGCTGGATAAATGCCTATGTCCTATCCAGAACTGAAAAGTTATCGCCATCATTGCTCAGTGTGGGTAACATTTTCCTGGATGTGTGTTCCTGCATTAATGAAAATTCCCCCCAATTAGTTATTGCAATTATTAATTGTAATTGCAATAAAATTAATAAATTCATTTTATTAATTTATTAAATTAATAAATTAATTAATAATTAAATCTTTATGCAGAGATTAATAAATATGCAGGCTAACAAAGCAAAAAAAGATAACACACATTACTAATATCAGAAATAAAAGAGGGGCCATATCTACCAAACTGTTGGTCATTAAAAGGATAATCAAGGACTATTATGAATGACTCTATTCCCACAGTTTGATAACTAGGTGAAATGTATCAATTCCTTGAGAGACATAATCTTCTCAAGGTCACACTAGGAACACAGACAATCTGAACAAGCCTCTGCCTATTAAGTGAATTAACATTAAGAACATTCCAAAAAAGACAACACCAGAACCAAATGATTTCTCTTACGAAATCCACCAAATTCTTACGAATCCCAACATATTTTCACAATATAATCCGAAAATTGCGCTCTTAGGTACGTACTCAGTTGAGATGAAAAGTTACGTCCACACAAAGCCTGCACAGGAATGTTTACAGCAGCTTTATCTATAACCACCCAAACTAGAAGCGAGCAAGATGTTTAAGAGGTGAATGAAAAAACAACCATCTATAAAACACAATATTATTCTGTGATTTAAAGGAGTTCTCCATCAAAGCATAGAAAAGACAATGGCATGTATCAGAAAGACTGTGGGGGCATGCATTCATGTGGATGAGACCACACAGGCAGCAGAGCAGGGTGACTTTAAGTATATTGATGAGTGAAGTAAGTTCAGCTGAAAAAGCTACATAATATTGGGCTGGTGCAAAAGTAATTGTGGTTTTTGCCAGTTGAAGAATGGAAAAACCGCAATTACTTTGCACCAATCTAATATATGACTCCAACTGTATGACATTCTGGAAAAGGCAAAACAAAGGGGATGGTAAAAATACCAATAGTTGGCAAGGTTTCTGGAGAAAGAGGACAGAGATTCATAAGTAAAGAAGAGGGAATTTTTGGAGCGGTGAGAGTATTCCTTACGAGATCGAAATGGTAAACATAACAGTAAATATTTCAAAATTCATAGAAATGTGTAACAGGAAAAAGAACACTATGAGAATGACAGACTTTAGGTACTAATGTATCAATATTTGCCCATTACTTTTAGCAAATATAACACAGTAATGTAAGATATGAATATTAGGTGGAATTATAAGGTAGGGTGAGAGAATAGAATGATGTGGGAACTTTGTGTATTACATGCTAGATTTTTATGTCAATCTAAAACTCCCTTGGTTAAACATTCAGTTTTAAAATTATAGCTCCACTGTTTCAGGGAGATCACAATAATGTTCAACAATTGAGTAACGTCTAGAGATTAGTTTGAAAGATTGTCTTACTATTAAATGTGAATCAAAATTGACTTTTAAATGTATATTTAATTTTGTGATTTCAGCAATACCTCTTGATTAGGCAAATAAAAATTTTGGCACATTTAAACATATGGCTTAACCTCCTCTATAGCTTCTTCTAACATATGGGACACTGAATACAATCCACAATTGTTATTCTTAAATCAACTTAATAAATTTCCACGGTACCTTCATGTGAGTGCACCCGGTGGTTTGCCCAGAGTCCAGGTTGTGTCATGTGCCTCTTGGTGTAGAGGCTATATCTTCTTAAAATTTCTATCAGAGAAGAGCCTGGTTAATCTTTTTGCAATGCAGAGAACTAATGACATGTTACTGACAGAAGACCAGAGGGAGAATTGTGATAATTGGTTCTAACTTCTGATCCCATTGTTTACTGGCTTCCAAGCAGAGCCATCTGAATCAAAGTTAGGTCTCAGGAAGATCGTGGAGTTCAGTGAGCACTTTATACATGGATTAGAAAGACTGCGTGGGCGATGGCTTCACATAGGTGAGACGATACAGAAAGGCAGAGGGCTGGTGTAGTGAGGGACCTGCACCCCAATCCCACTAGAGCCACGTAGACCTGGGAAGGTCATGTAATCCCTCGGCCCTCAGATCTCTGCGCTGTCATGTTAAACTTTTCATAGGGCCTACTTATTAATCTCACAGTATGGGGCTAGAAAAATCACTAAATGCAGGAGAATATTAAGAAAGAGAATCAGAACTTCAGTAGTGATGTGTAAGGGTTTACTAAATGCCAGAAGGAATAAGCCGGAGACTTAGTAGTGGCTGAACACAGAGAGGCTGCTTGGGTGGCTCCAGGCCAGTGGAGGGTGGTTCCCTGTTCATCTTTTACGTGGGTGTGATGCCTTACAACTTCTGGAGGACATCTCCTATTATCTCCGGGACTCCCCACATCAGCCCGGCAGGGTGGGCACAGGAGGGGCTGAGTATCACTTAGAGATGGTGAGAGATTTGCAGAATCCCATTCTAATGAGTGAAGGATCTGGGGGTTGGAATAAATTTGGTTCCCTAGAGACAGAGATTCCTGAACAACTGAGACCTCTATATCGTGCCCTGGACCACTGATCAAAGGGACCCTTTCACTCTCTTTCTCCAATACTTTTATTCCCAAGGTGTGTGGAAAGACAGAGTTCGTGCTCGGGAAGAGTCGCCTGAGATGAAGACAGGTCCCTAATTATAAAGCATTCTTTTCCTCTGCCTTTCAAATCTTCCACCCCAAGTATGACACAGTTTCCTTTAAAGGATGTCACCTGTGGGACCTTGGGAAGCACAAATGCGTGGCCTTCCTCCCCCACTCCCTTCACCCTGTCAGCTGCCTCTCAGTAACTGTTTCCTCCAGTGATCACAGTGAGCGACCAGTGTCTGCCTGTCTCCAAGACTGCTCAGGCCTTAGAACAATGCAAAACATCTATCACAAGATGCTTCTGCAAGTAACAACTTCTCTCCCACTTATCAAACCTGAATAAGTAGCTAATGCGAATTAACTGAAAAAGAGGCCATCTGGGCTGGTGCTTTGGTGGTTTAATGAATTTAGTCTGCCACCCCCACTTTCTCCTTGACTGCTGATCTGAGCCACCTGGAAAAAGGTGTGGCTAAGAATGGGCAGCAGGTGCACCAGCAGGGAGTGTACACCTTATCAGCTCATTCTTTCCCCATCAAAGATCACTTTCTATTTTACAAACTCCACATCCATTTCTTGACCTTGCCGTGGCAGGGGACAGTCCTATCTCCTGTCAGAAAGACCCCTCCGGCCAGGCGCAGTGGCTCATGCCTGTAATTCCAGCACTTTGGGAGGCCGAGGTGGGCGGATCATGAGGTCAGGAGACCGAGACCATCCTGGCTAACATGGTGAAACCCCGTCTCTTCTAAAAATACAAAAATTTAGCCGGGCATGGTGGCGGGCGCCTGTAGTCCCAGCTACTCGGGAGGCTGAGGCAGGAGAATGGCGTGAACCCAGGGGGTGGAGCTTGCAGTGAGCCGAGATCGCGCCACTGCACTCCAGTCTGGGAGACAGAGCAAGACTCTGTCTCAAAAAAAAAAAAAAACAAAAAACCCTCCATAGCCACAGCCTGGAAACCTCTGCCCCAGGACTCTGCCCCAGGACTCTCATTCAAGGTTCACTCTGATCCCCCTTTCCCTCTGACTCCAGATGTCCCTTCCATTAACCCAATGGCTCTGCCTCTTCTCCCAATCCTTCACCAGTGAAAATGCCACTGATTCTCTCTCGTGAGCCCTCTGAAAGTCTTCTCATAAAATACCACTCTTCATCCTATTTTTTTAAGTCCACCTCTAGATCACTAACATTTGTTTTCAGATTTTGGGTTCCACATTCAGAGGAATGTTTCTGTCCTTCCACTTTCCAGTCAAGTCTATTATTGCAGGAGTGGAATCAAGATTCTCCTAAAATGATAAAGCACTATGGCTGTGTTTGCTGTGTATTCTCTGGAAGTGTGTGCCCAGGATTGCCAGTCTTTATTATTTGGTAGAAATAAAAGTAAGTCACATGGTCCTGATATTTACATTTTGAGTTTTAAAAATTTTTATATTGTTTTCATCAAAACTCACTTTAGATATTAATATGTTCATCTTGGTATTTTCTTCTAAATGCTATAAACCTGTGTTTCCCATTATTTGTTTCTCTTAGTGAGCTATATCCTTCTGTGAACCCCTGCTTGCTCTCAGAGGGATCCTAAATACAGAAATGGAGATTTGCATTACTGTTTGGAAAGATCTCATTTTCCGTTCTCAGAGCCTCCTATGTGCCTTAGAGACCACCGTGTCCCTGCTTTAACCCTATGTAATAGAAACAAATAAGATCTTTATTCTCAGAAAATTCAACAGTCTTCAGAGGAACCCACATTCTTACACAACTCTGTCATCCAGGTCTCAGGCAAAGCCCTCATAACTTGGCAAAATTTAAGGTATCACAACTTTACAAGCTTCTATTTGTTATTATAAAGATGTGCCCACTTTTAGTAGAGATTTTAGCAACAGTTGCCTAGTTAATAAAACATAGAAAGTTCTAGAAGAAAGCACATAAAGAACATACTATGTAAAATTTGACCTAAAAATGACCAATCTCACAGGGACACACAGAGCTGAACAACACACACGGGGCTATCGGATGGGGGACGGTGGGAGGAGGGAGGATCAGGAAAAATAACTAATGGGCGCTAGGCTTAAAACCCAGGTGACAAGATAATCTGCACAAGAAATCCCCATGACACAAGTTGACCTATGTAACAAACCTGCACATGCACCCCTGAACTTAACAGTTAAAAAAACTGGTGGGACAAAATGAGATACCATTTCACACCAGTCAGAACGGCTATTACTAAAAAGTCAAAAAACAGCAGATACTGGCAAAGTTGCAGAGAAAAGGGAGCACTTATATACTCTTAGAGACTGTGTAAATTAGTTCAACCATTGTGGAAAGTAGTGTGGTGATTCCTCAAAGAGCTAAAAACAGAAATGTCATTCAACCCAGCCATCCCATTACTGGTTATATGCCCAAAGAAATATAAATCATTGTACCCTAAAGACATCCACACATATGTTCACAGCAGCGCTATTCATAATAGCAAAGACCCAAATGCCCATCAATGACATACTGGATAAAGAAAATGTGGTACATATACACCATGGAATACTATGCAGCCATAAAAGAGAATGAGATGATGTCCTTTGCAGGAACATGGATGGAGCTGGGCGACAGAGTGAGCCTCCATCTCAAAAAAAAAAAAAAAAAAAATTGTGCCGGGCGCGGTGGCTCATGCTTGTAATCCCAGCACTTTGGGAAGCCAAGGCAGGTGGATCATGAGGTCAGGAGATCGAGACCATCCTGGCTAACACGGTGAAACCCCATCTCTACTAAAAATACAAAAAATTAGCCGGGCATGGTGGTGGGCGCCTGTAGTCCCAGCTACTTGGGAAGCTGAGGCAGAAGAATGGTGTGAACCCAGGAGGCGGAGCTTGCAGTGAGCCGAGATCGTGCCACTGCACTCCAGCTTGGGCAACAGAGCAAGACTCCGTCTCAAAAAATAAATAAATAAAAAATAAAATAAAAGTTAAAAAATAAATGACCCGTCTTATTGACTAACCTCACCACGGTCTTATGGATTCAATTAACCTGTTCAATTCTTTTTTGTGTTTACTCCATCAACTTCCTGTGTAACTGCACTCCACAAGGCACATAACCACACTCCACAAGGCACATAAAACCACTGAAGAGAGGAGGCAAATGAGGTCTTTTATCCTCCCCTTCAATTGTCTTACAAAGCTCATGCCTGAGTTTAGAGCATAAGTCATCAGTTTAGTCATAAGTCTTATAACTTCCCAAATGAATGCTTTAACTGCAGCTACAGTACATATCATGTGTTGAGTAGCACTTCTCATGTGCTTTTAAGCAACTCTTTCAATATTGAGAGACAAGATTCAATACTAGGGAAATATTCTATGGTATTACATCATTAATTTTATGTTACAGAGACCATATATTGAAAATGTATAAATAATGAAGTCCAGTCTTACTTTCAATACTGTGTGTAAGTTCATTGAGTGTGCAGACCCCTTAAGCTTGCACTCACCTGTGTGTTAGACACACATTCACAAACACATCACACAGACCTACACATAGACACCTTCTGCCTTGGTGCACACAAATCCACCCCACCTAAAGTGAATATGCCTGTTTCCAGGGATTGCACATAGGTGACAAGAGTTTGTCACCTGAAAAACCAGTTTTAGTTCACCCCAAATTCTCGTTCTTTCCAGGTGTCTTGGATCATGGAGATGGTCTAGATGAAAGTCAGCAATTAAGTTCCACATTTCTTATACATACACTTTTTTTTTTTACACCTGGTGAATGATTCCAGAATACATACCATTTACTGTGTTCCTTGGGGTCACCTGCAATTAGAAGAAAGAAAACACTCTGAGGATGAGATCATACTGTGGGCTGTTTGCACAGGTCTTTCGTTCTCTTAGGGGCTCTTGGTAACCAAGATGGGAAAGAATGTTTAAGTCTAAAGCCCCAACATCTAGAGTAGAGTTCATCTGTAGAAAGCACAATAGCTTTTGTTGAAAAGTATCTTTGTTGGCCGTGCTCAGTGGCTCACGCCTGTAATCCCAGCACTTTGGCAAGCCGAGGGAGGTAGATCACGAGGTCAGGAGATCGAGACCATCCTGGCTAACATGGTGAAACCCTGTCTCTATTAAAAATACAAAAAAAAAAAAAAATTAGCCAGATGTGGTGGCGGGCACCTGTAGTCCCAGCTACTCAGGAGGCTGAGACAGGAGAATGGCGTGAACCCGGGAGGCGGAGCTTGCAGTGAGCCGAGATCGTACCACTGCACTCCAGCCTGGGCTACGCAGCAAGACTCCGTCTCAAAAAAAAAAAAAAATCTTTGTCAAGACCATTTTGAAGTAGCAGTTACAAAATACTTAATCTAAAGTGGAAAGCTTGTTGCAGAGGAAAGTGTCCCCTAACATGCTGTGTGTGACCCAGCCCTGCCAATTCCAGATGTCCTCTTCAATCAGGTGTCAGTGGGTGGGGTGCACCCCTCCATCCCCAAGGAAACATCATCTAACACCTATAACGCACCTGATCATTTTTCTCTATCTGATATCAATTGAAAAATGAAATAACCAAGAAAATTACACACATGTTAGGCAAAGACAGGCTACTTTACCTTGGTAACAGAGAAGGGGTCCTCACTTGCCCACTCTTTGGAATCCACCTTCCATTGATCTTCTGGGGGAACTGAAAGGACACAACATGACTGTCAGTTCATTGGTGGTGACATGAACAAAGGGCTAGAACTTATGGATGTGGTTGGTTAACAAGCATGAATTGAGCTTCTCCTGGGCCATCCTCTTCTATGGACCAAGGAAGGCAGAGAGACGGGCAGAAAGGAAATGAGAAATAGAGCCTTTGTCTTTCCAGGTAATAGCAGATGAAAGCGACACGAAATACTCAAACTTCAAATGAGCAACTACTAAAATGCATGCTAGAATTCAACCACAGAGTCCTGTCACTCCCTCAGCCCATTTTAAAGTCCAGCAGAACTGCCACTGACTCCTTGATATTGACCAACTCCCTTTCAACCTCCACAGACCCCCATCTGCTGCTGTAACATTTAACATCTGGGGTATAGGATTCAGCCCCTGTTTATGTGTAAATTTTTATTGAGGAACTAAATTCAATATCAGGTACCAGGGCTAATTATATTTACTCAATTCTTTGTTATAAATCAATTATTAAAAACTGGAAAATACTGAAATACATGTTAAAATATCCACTGTAAATCAAAGATCTTCCTTTTAGTCTTCCCTTCCTATCCCTTGTGTTTGCAATCATTGCATGAGGGGGCCTAGTTTCAGCCAGGTCTAGTTCACCTAGCCATATGAGGTCTAGTTTCAGCCCAAGCTACCCACAGTGAAGGAAGGCAGAGTGAGGAGATGACCCCATGTGAGCACCGAGGCTCTTTAACCCAGCTGTACAGGAGAGTTGCCACAAGGGTGACACCTGAGGCTAATTGTGAAGTGGTATCCTGTGTTCTGTGATTCTTGTGCCTTAGCCACCTGAGTAGCTGGAATTACAGGTGTGCACCACCACGCCCAGCTAATTTTGCATTTTTAGTAGAGATGGGGTTTCTCCATGTTGGTCAGGCTGGTCTTGAACTCCTGACCTCAGGTGATCTGCCTGCCTCGGCCTCCCAAAGTGCTGGGATTACAGGCATGAGCCACCGCGCCCAGCTGCCTTATTTATTCTTAACACATGTAAGTGCCTCTAACTTTCGATTGTTTCCAAGTCATGGAACGAACAACCTCCTTAGAAAGAACTCTGAAGGATAGGTCAGGAGAACTAAGTCACACAATCCATCAGAAACAGTATTAACAGTTTTTCAAAGTTACACTTTATATGCAAACTTGTACAATTATCATCTTATTATTTTTAAATGTATCTTTACATATATGTATGTGACCTACGTGTTTCCTGGTGTGAGTAAATCTGTATGTTCTTGGTTAATAGTGTTTACCGATTCATTTCACTTCTCTATCTTTGTATGTTGAAATATGAACTACTCTCTGGATGAGAAAAAATGATTACACTTGATTATATTTACCTTTGGAAAGGTAAGTGGTTTGGGTGATTGACTATAATTGTTATCTCTATCATTTTGGATAAACCCCAATCATAAAAATAAGTGTGTTTTGTTTCACACACTGACACATAGACAATACACATTCTTACTTCTTTTCAAAAAGTTAATATGTGAATATAAATGACATATTCCAAATTTACTAAACTGAATACACATTTCATGAAAAAGGAGAGAGGAAAGACATACTAAAAACAGGCCAGGGCCTGGTGTGGTGGCTCACGCCTGTAACACCACCACTTTGGGAGGCCGAGGCAGGTGGATCACCTGAGGTCAGGAGTTCAAGACCAGCCTGGCCAACATGGTAAAACCTTGTCTCTACAAAAATACAAAAATTAGCCGGGCATGATGGTGGGTGCCTGAAATCCCAGCTATTCGGGAGGCTGAGGCGAGAGAATCATTTGAACCCGGGAGGCGGAGGTTGTAGTGAGCCGAGATCGCACCGTTGCACTCCAGCCTGGGCGACAGAGTGAGACTCCATCTCAAAAACAAACAAACAAACAAAAAAACAACAACAAAAGACAAAGATGGACACACTTCGTTGTGTTAAAAGCCTCAAAGACATCTGCATCATTCTAGCTTTGCTCCTAATTTTTAAAATTAATGATTTTAATAGGTTCTTAATTAGGTAAAAACTGCATTAAAACATACTTTGCCATATTTTTCCCAGAAGGATACCTAATTGGGTGGTTTGAGGGGTGCCAGATGTAACAGGAAATAAGACATGTCTTTTAAATAAAGGAAAAGCTCAAAGGCATCCTGCTTGATACTAGAATCAAATATATAAATTGAGGAATAAAACATAACCGGGAAACACATTTATAACTGCATATGAAAAATACAGAGGAGAATTTTTTAATAAAATATATTTTTAAATATTAACTAGTACATTTGAGAGGACAGCATTCAACAGGCCAATGTGAACATACCTTTAATGCAGGAACTCAGGTTCCCCATAAGAAAGACCAGAATCTGTGAAAATGACAGCAAGCATGTTCAACCTGCTATGAACTTTGAAAAACTCAGCACAGACAGTGGCAGTTAGGACCGAGGGCAAGATATACCCAATCACATAACCATGGTGATAGGAGCATCATCAACGTCTCAGGGTAAAGTCACAATGTGTATTGTGAGGTCCGCTTTCTGCTGCACCAACAAGAGTGCTTTCACACGCACAGGAGGGTCATTAAAGATTAGGCCTTTTACGGCAGGGAGTGGTGGCTCACACCTGTAATCCCAGCACTTTGGGAGGCCGAGGTGGGTGGATCACGAGGTCAGGAGATAGAGACCATCCTGGCTAACATGGTGAAACCCCGTCTGTACTAAAAACACAAAAAATTAGCCGGGCGTGGTGGCGGGAGCCCCCAGCTACTCGGGAGGCTGACGCAGGAGAATGGCGTGAACCCGGGAGGCGGAGCTTGCAGTGAGCCGACATAGCGCCACTGCACTCCAGCCTGGGCGACAGAGCGAGACTCCGTAAAAAAATAAAATAAAATAAAATAAAATAAAAGATTAGGCGTTTTACTTAAAAAAAAAACAACAAAACCCAAGCTCATTAATTACTATTCTGTGCTTATTAAAATAAGTTTTAGGAGGAGAAATTGTGTACCCCAAAATACACTCAATGGCAAGAATTTCAAACTGAGCAGGGGCAAAACCGATATGTTAGTAACAACCAGAAGTTCCATTCTCGATTCGAAATTCCATTGCCAAATATTTCTACCATTCCTGAGTCATCTAATATTTCTAGAACCAATAAGCAAACTGTTCAGAATTAAAGACAGCATAAATGGATATTGTTATAAAAGTCATGTTTCTTAAAAAGTGACATTTTTTAAAGTCACATTTTAAAAGTCATATTTCCCTAAAAAGTCATATTTCTACCATTCCTGAGTGATCTAATGTTTCTAGAAGCAATAAACTGTTCAGAATTAGAAAAAAGTGTTACTTGATATTATAAAAATCATATTTCTCTCACAATATAATTATGAAACTTATTTTTCCACTTATCTCTATATATTACTATGCACTTATTTATCTCCCAAACTTTGTGAATTCACAGAGGAATTTGTCTACCATTGTGTATGTAAACGGCTGGCCATTCACTGAGTATTTAAAGGAAAAAAAAATCACTATATTTTCACCAGTGCATCTTCTCGGTGGGGTGAACACTTTGGGTGAATACATATAATTTTTTATTTGAGACAGGGTCTCACTCTGTCACTCAGGCTGGAGTGCAGTGGCTTGATCATGGCTCACTGCAGCCTTGACCTCCCAGGCTCAGGTGATCCTCCCAACTCAGCCTCCCATGTAGCTGGGACTACAGGTTCTTGCCGCCATGCTCAGCTAATATTTTGTAGAGATGGGGTTTTTCCATGGTGCCCAGGCTGGTCTTCAACTCTTGGATTCAAGCAATCCACCCACCTCGACCTCCCAAAGTATTGGGATTAGAGGCGTGAACCACCATGCCCAGCCTAATACATATAATTAAAGTGTTTCTGAATGCAGAATTTTAGATAACTTTCAAAATGTATAACTACGTGTGTATTCTGGCTGATACATAACACCCAATTGCAAATACTTTTATGATATGCCCAAGAAAACAAGCTGTTGAAAGTGACCTGCCCTAAAATAAATAGAACAAATGAAAATTTTAGGGTTAAGATGAGAGAGTTGCTATGTTTCAAAGAGAATAGGTACCCTTCATGATATAAATATTACAGTACAAATGTCTATCATTGCTAAGTACAAATTTCTAGAACAAATAAATAGGTCACAAATGATGTATACAATCTGCATTAATATAGATGATGCTATATTTTGTCCAGTGATTATAAAACAGAGGGTGTAATGGGGTAGGTGCTGAAAGAATAGGTCATTCTGTGTTGTTATAAACAGAAAATTTCAATGGCTTCCAGATTGAACAAATATATGTATATACACAAATTATACACACACACACACGATACTATAGTTATATGTGTATGTGTTTGTATACTCAGAAATGCAGCAAACTAAAAAAAAACTTTAACAATCCCCACAGATTCATGCTTCTGAATGCTCAAATGGAGGAGAAAATTTAAAAAGAAGTGGAAAATATAGTGAGAAAATCTACTCATCCTATTGGAGGAGCTGATATCTATTTTAAGTTTAGAGAGGCAGGCTTAAATAAGTAAATGTTTAGGATTTGAAATTTAATTGTACAAGTATTTTTTTCGTTGAATTTCCTCCCAACTTTGTAAAATCATCAGATCAAAAACACATCATTTGATTAGGGTGCAGTTTTATAGTACCTAACAATCAAGATTTTGGAAAAAAAAAAAAAAGTTGATGATGGTGAATTTTGATAAATTCTAACATTGTCCTAGTTGAAAGAGGTAAATATGTTTTTATATGTGCTAAGAATTGTCTAATTTAAGAGTACAATGATGTTGTTATGACTGTTGATAAATTTCAATCGTTTTTGAAATTATAACTAAAAGAATGTTTTTATTTGGCTATTATTCCAGTTGATTTCAACAATGCTAAGTGAAATACATGTATCAGAACAAAATCATGATGATGTCACAAATGTTAACTATCTAATAGCTACTGTAGGTCAGACTTTTTTTTAATTTGAGTCTAATTTGTTTCTTCCATCTTAAAACTCTCTAACATGAATTAAAGGGCTAAAAAGATGTACTGATTAGACATTTTTGATTAAAGGTTTGGTAAACTAAACAGTACTTTCATCTAGCATTAGGAATATTGAAAGCAAGAAAATGGATTATTTAGTAACTATGTAAAATGCATTAGTATTAGAGTTGCATTACTTAGTATTGTGGTTGTCATCTAGCTTTTTTTTTTTTTTTTTTTAAACGGAGTCTTGCTCTGTCGCCCAGGCTGGAGCGCAGTGACGCGATCTCAGCTCACTGCAACCTCTGCCTCCCGGGTTCACGCCATTCTTCTGCCTCAGCCTCCCGAGTAGCTGGGACTACAGGCGCCCGCCACCACGCCCGGCTAATTTTTTGTATTTTTAGTAGAGACGGGTTTTCACCGTGTTAGCCAGGAAGAAATGTTAGTGTAGAAAGGTAATATATTCCAAAAGAATCTGTTTTTCTTAATGAAGAGTATCCACACAGACACTCATAGCAAAAAAAATTATAAGATGCATCAGAGATAAATAAAATAAAGTGTAGTCTTCCTAGAGCTGGATTTAGTTTCTGGTTTGATTTATTTTAACGACAGACATAAGAGATCACTTCGTAATGAAGTACAATTTCACACTATAGAAACAGAGTAAAAATATCTTTTTGAAGAAAATGCCAAATCTACCTTTAATCTCAAGGAAATAGGATCGCTCAAATAGATCTGTTAGCATGTTACATATTAATAGACAACCTGCTGTGTAAATTACTTAAAAGCCATCTTTTGCAAAAATTTTCTCCCATTCTGTAGGTTGCCTGTTCACTCTGATTATCGTTTCCTTTGCTGTGCAGAAGCTCTTTAGTTTAATTAGATCCCATTTGTCAATTTTGGCTTTTGTTGCCATTGCTTTTGGTGTTTTACTCATGAAGTCTTTGGCCATGCCTACGTCCTGAATGGTATTGAGTTCATGTCCTTTGCAGGGACATGGATGAAGCTGGAAACCATCATTCTTAGAAAACTAACACAGAAACAGAAAACCAAACACCACATGTTCTCACTCATAAGTGGGAGTTGAACAATGAGAACACATGGACACAGGGAGGGGAACATCACACACTGGGGCCTGACGGGGGTTGGGGGCTAGGGGAGGGATAACATTAAGAGAAATACCTAATGTAGATGATGGGTTGATGGGTGCAGCAAACCACCATGGCACGTGTATACCTATGTAACAAACCTGCACGTTCTGCACATGTATCCCAGAACTTAAAGTATAATAAAAAAATAAATAAAAATTTAAAAAATGGTTAAAAAGCCATATTTTAAAAGGTTTTTAAAATTCACAACATACTCCATTTTTGATATAACTTCTAATATTTCTTCTCTGTGGTAGAAATTTGTTCCTGAGAAATAAGAGGCCAAGGATATTACAAGAGCACAAAAAGTTTACATAAATGTGTTAACATTTTAAAGGCAACTATATATGAATAACATTAAAACATTGTTAAAAATTTATTAGAATGAATAATAAAATCATCAAGTTTATACTTAATAAGATCAAATATATTGCTTATATAATTTTAAAAGTAGTGCAGAATGTTTATTATTCTAGTCTCACTAAAAATGATAAACTTCAAACATATCTATAGGAAAATAATTACAAAACTCAGCAAGTAATATGGGAGATAATTTGAAGAAATGTTGAAATAGTTTCTTACATAAAGACACTAGGTATTTCTTTCATAAAGGACACTAGGTAAAAGTTCCAGCAATGAGTAGGGAGGTGATCTAGGTACATTTTATTATTGATTATTGATACAGGTTTTCTCTTGAGAAAGTGCACAGTTGGGCTCTTCTCTCTCTCTCCTCTCTCTCTCTCTCTCTCTGCAAGACAGTTAACAACAATAAAACCCACCTGGTCAACCCATCGACAACACTCAGCTTTATCCCTATCCCTCTCTCACCGTTCCTCTAGGGACACAGTTACCCTGTGGTTTCTCCTGGGTTCTTTCTCCTTCCTCCTCCAGATCCCTGGGATCAGCCATCAACCCTCCTGATACCCCCTCTCCTGTTTGGCTGCCTTCAGGCTCTTTGTTGAACCTGACACCAAAGGATGTCTTTTTAAACTGTCAGTTTCATCTATTCTGCCTCCAGTTCACAACCCGAAACAATCCCAGATAATGAATCAAACCAAACCCCTCACTGACACACAAGGACCTCTACAGTCTGGATTCAAATGTCCTTACCTGACTTGACACTTACACTTCACTTGTTCAATCTTCTCATCAATGATGTATTCTGTCATCCCCTCAGCATATCATTGCATTGAAAATGTCTCTTTTTTTTTTCCAAAGCCCTATCTTTCCAAAGCTAGTAATGTGTGAGTATTTGTTCCAGAGCAGGACCCCACAGCCCAGTGAGACCCAAGTCACAATCACCTCTTTCCCTGGCCTCTGTGGAAGGAGCTGCCCAGGACTTTGCTCCCAGAGCCCTCTGCAGCCTCCCCGCAGCCTCCTTTCATTGGGTGGAGGTGATATTTTGCCCATGTCCTTCTAGTAATGCAAGAAAAACGTATTGAAAAATGCTGTCTTTCTTTTAGTATCAGCAACTTGGGCCATGGCCCAGGGCGTGGCCATAGATACTTCTAGACTGACACTCACTAGGCTCTCAGGCCGACACCACTCACATGACTTCTACTGAGGGAATGCAGTCTGGCGAGAGAGCAGCAGGAGACACTGTGGATCTCAGGGTCTGTGCAGTGGGCAGCCACAACTGTGCCAACCCCCTCCTACCCCACAAATTCCGCAGGGCTGGGTGATGGAGCCTGCACTCACTGAGGCTGACCTGGAAGCTGTGCCCTCCCTGGGTGTGGTTCCAGCACCCACTTCTTCCCAGGTCTGGCCTGTCGGACTTCCCCTGTCCACCAGCCCCTAGGACTTGAATAAATACATGGGGTAAAGTAGAGGCAGGCAATGTGGGGACACATTGGCATCTGTAACTCCTCCTCTGTGAGGTCAGTGGAAGGGATAAGAGAGGCCTGGAGCAGCCCACTCCAGCTCTGGACCTCAGAAGGGCTGTGTCCACCATGGCTCCTGTCCTCCTGCTGCTCCTCTCTCACTTCCCAGGTAAGGACAGGCCTCCCACGTCCAGGGCAGGTCCCCCAGGCTTCAGCAGTCCCCTCTGGCTCAGATCTTCCAGCAACTTCATGCTGGTAAGTGAGCCAGCAGCCATATCCACCTGTGTCTGCAGGTTCCCTCTCCCAGCCTGTGCTGACTCAGCCGCCCTCCCTCTCTGCATCTCTGGAAGCACCAGCCGCACTTCCCTGCATCCTGAGCACTGGCGTCCATGCTGATTTCTATTGGATATACTGGTACCAGCATAAGCCAGGGAGCCCTCCCTGGTATCTCCTGAGCCACTACCAAAATGTACTTCATGACCAGGGCTCCAGGGTCCCGAGCTGCTCCTCTGGATTGATGGAAGGCTGGTCCAATAAAGGGCTTTTGCTCATATCTAAGCTCCAGTCTGAGGACGAGGCTGACTAATTACTGTGTGATTGAGCACAGCAGTCCTTCGCACACTGACACACAGGTGGGGAGGCGGGATAAAACCTCAGCCTGCTCAGAGTCTTGTTCTCTGACAATGTTTAGATATTAAAATAACTCACATATACAAACTTCACAGGAAAGCACTTTCTGGCTCAAAAAATACTCTCTTCTCAATTCTCCATAGAATGTTTCTGAAGTCTCAGGAATGCTGAAAACAAAAACAAAAACCTCCTGATACACTGCGGTGTTGCCCGGTTATCTAGATGAGCAAAACTCAGAGCCTGTGGAGTTGACTTTTTTATTATTATTATTTTTTGGAAGAAGAGAAATGAGCCTTTCCTAGTTTTCTTTTCGGCCAGAGGCCGGAGACCATTCAAGCAGGTAGACAGTCGCTACAGCATGGACTACTGTCTTTGAGGGATCAGAGCAGAAACCTCCTTGTCCCTCTCCAGTCACCTCCCTCCAACCCCGATCATCTGTGCTTGGGGCTGCCTGAGGCTCCCCGTGACCCAGGGATGAGGCACTAAGGTGTGAAATGAGTGAGGACACAGGTCCCAGGGGAGTTCCAGCGAAGATGTGGCCAGAGTCACTCACAGGTAGGTACCTGCACCTTCAGTGTTCATGTCAGGAGGTTGGGGGTATGGATGGGGGGAAATGAGGGCCTGAGGCCAGCAAACCTCTCTGTGGAGCGTGAGAGGGTGAAGGCGAGGCTCCACCATTGCTGGAAAAACACCATGCCTGCTCTGGGGAAGTTGGGGGATGTTGATTTCATGGATGTGACTTTCCTATAGCTGATCCCACTCAGGACCACAGGGACCCCCATGGGTGATTTTCTCAGAGACCACAGAAACTATCTTGTGTTTTCTCCTCTCATACCTTACCATTGGAGCTTTTCAACAGTCCAGGTGGCGGGGAGGGTTGTGGGACATCAGGGAGTAGGAACTCCGCAACCTGTGCATGCAGAATTCCCCTTGTAAAGCTCTTGTTGTGCCCCAGACCCTGAGGTCACCTTCTCCTGCACAAGGGGCAGTAGAGACATTGGGAGTTACCATGGCAACTGGTGCCATGGACTCTGAGGCAGAGCCACTGTGTTTGTCACCTAGGACAGGGAGGATGGACCTTCAGAGATTTGAGCCTCATTATCCAGATGCAGGTTTGTCAATAGAAACCCTCTGTCCACCTCTGGACTCCAGCATTATGGGTAAGGCTGATTGTCTCTGTCACATAGCTGAACACAGCCTCATAAACAGAAAGAGCTCCTGATCCATGGAAAAATGGATAAAAATGTTGTCCCTCTCATCTTACCAGAATGTACGTTGGGCCAAATAGTGGCCATGGCACTAGCTGTGTAGGTGGCAGCTGCAGAGCCAGGGGCAGTGGATGGGCCAGGGGGATACGGCAGGGTGGGTGCTTGTGGGGTCAAGGTAGAAGTGGTGAGTAATGGCCCCCCAAGGTTGAATGTGTTTTGGTGCCTGGGGCTGGCTGGCCTCCAGGAGGCTGGGGCTGGACTGGAGCTGGAGGTGGCAGGCCTCCAAACTGGAAACAGTGGTCAAAGGTGGGGATCTGTGCTGCTGCCCCACAGGGGCCCCAGATATGGGCTAAGCAGTGGCTCCAGGGTTAGTGGAAAGTTTCAAATTTGGGGTGGGGCCACAGAACCCCAGTGCAGGAAGGTGGTAGTGTCCTTGGCTGAGGCTGTGCTGCCACCTAGGGATGTGGGAAGGGTCTGGAAAGATGGAAAGTAGTTCCCACTGGAGCCAGCAGGAGGCCCTAGAATGAGAGGCTAGGAAAGGGGAGTGGTGTCCGTGGGGGTGACAATGGTGTCCACTGGGGAGCCAGTCCTGCAGATGTGCTGGCTGAGGGCCTGGAACTGGCTGCACATGCAGCGAATGGCTGACCAGGGAGAGAGGGGCCTTAGGATCCATGAGGAGAGAGAGGCCCTGAGTGAAGAAGACAGGAGAATGCATACACATTTTTGTTGGGGTTGACTACTTCATTATGGGGGTGCTGCGAGACATGAGGAAGGCTGAACTGGCACCTGCTGCAGCTGTGGCTAAGGCCGTGGGGCAGGCCTCAGATGTCTTGAGCAGCCACCAGCCTGGGTCAGTGCCCTCTCTTCCTCTCTTTGAAGAGCTAGACTTGTATCCTTGCTGCCTCACCCATGAGCATCTCTGTTCCTGGTTTCCTCTCCGAGTATGCACTGACTCACTCACCTCCCTATCTTTATCTCTGAGAACTTCGAGACTTGCCTGTGCTCTGAGCAGTGGCTTTAATGTTGATGACTTTGTGACCATGTGGTATCAGCAGAAGCCAGGGAATCTTCTCTGGGTTCAACTGTACTCCTCAAGTCCACTGTGGGGATTAGAAATCCAGGGGCTTGGCTGGGCACCGTGGCTCACACCTGTAATCCCAGCACTTTGGGAAGCCGAGGTGGGTGGATCACAAGGTCAGGAGATTGAGACCATCCTGGCTAACACAGTGAAACCCCATCTCTACTAAAAATACAAAAAATTAGCCGGGCGTGGTGGTGGGAGCCTATAGTCCCAGCTACTCGGGAAGCTGAGGCAGGAGAATGGTGTGAACCCGGGAGGCAGAGCTTGCAGTGAGCTGAGATCGTGCTACTGCACTCCAGCCTGGGCAACAGAGCGAGACTCCATCTCAAAAAAAAAAAAAAAAAATTACTGTGAAAAATATTCCATTACATATTCCCAAGCAAATGAGCTGCATCTTCTTTACTGTATTTTACAATTTAGTACCACAATTTTAGGCCTCAATCTTCTCTTCACATCACTGGTATTTTAAATTTGGCAATAAATATGAAATTCCTTTTGACTTACAGACTCATTATATTATTACTTTGAAAACGCATTAATTTCTTAGGAAGGTTTTGAGCCTCTATCTTTTTTTGAGTTAATATTTAAATTCTCTGCTTATTTTAATAGCCTGTACTAAGTGAAAATAGTATTTATGCAAGTAAACAAATCACTATAGGTGTTCAAGACTTTAATTTTAAATTTTGTCATCATTGAGGTTTAAATTTTTTACCTGCTGTCCACTTAAAATGTATATTAACAGCTTGTGACGTAAAATAGTTTTAAGTATGATATACGATGCACCTGCATATAAATGAAGATGGCGTGCACAAAGACACTTTGCTATGGGAACTGTACTGGAAGATTTATGAAAGCATGTGAAATTGCACCTAAAATTGTGCTATTAGTGACTATAAGCAGCAATGCTAAATTTATTGTACTTGATGAATGAATGTATTTAGTCTAGTGACAATTACTTTGGTTTAAATGTGTAAATGTCTTGAGTTTTTTTTTTAAAGTGTAATTTGTACTATTGTGGGGGTGTACTTGGACTGCAGGGGTTATTGTCAATGTGTGATTTGTGTTTTTATTTTATGTATAATATATATTTATTTTATATAGTAGATGATTTCATAGAATCATCTAATGTGATATATCAATTTTTTTTTATTTTGAGACGGAGTCTTGCTCTGTCACCCAGGCTAGAGTGCAGTGGCGCGATCTCGGCTCACTGCAAGCTCCACCTCCCGGGTTCATGCCATTCTCCTGCCTCAGCCTCCTGAGTAGCTGGGATTACACGTGCCTGCCACCACACCCGGCTCATTTTTTTTTTTGTATTTTTAGTAGAGACGGGGTTTCACCATGTTGGTCAGGCTGGTCTTGAACTCCTGACCTCAGGTGATCCACCCGCCTCGTCCTCCCAAAGTGCTGGGATCACAGGCGTGAGCCACAGCAACTGGCCAGTGTGGATTTCTAGAGAGGGGGAATTCTTCTCCACACTTGTTGGGGAAGTAAACTAATACATACACTACGGAAACAATGTGAGGCTTCCTCAAAACATTAAAACTACAATGACCATTTCCGCTAGCAATTGTACTGCTAGGTATACATTCAACCCACATGAAATTGGTACATGGAAGAGAGAGGTGGTGGACTGCAGCACTATTCACAGCAGTCAGGGAAATGAATCAACCTACCGTCCATATGCAGATGAAAAAATAAACTCCCATGTGTGTACACAAAGGACGACTCTTCAGCCAGGAAAATTCGATGACATCACCTCATGGGGAGCCCTGTGGTTGTACCTGGAGGATGTGATGGTAAATGAAATGAGCCAGGCAGAGAAAGACAAACCTTGTATTATCTCACTCATACAGAATCTAAAAAAAAAAAACTTGATCTCAAAGACCTAGAGAGTGTAACAGCGGTTACTAGAGCTTGGGGGAAGAAGGGAGGATGATAAGGGATTGGAAATAGGTGCATAAAAAATTACCACTAAAGTATGCAAATATAAATATGTGGGACTAGGTAAAACTTTAGGATTTCTACAGAGCAAAGGAAACAATGAACCAAGAGTCAAGGCACCCTAAAAACTGAGAGAGAATTTTGGAGAAAATTCTATCTCTGAAACGGATTCTCATCTAACATGTACAACAAACTGACACGACTAAGGTGAAATAAACAGTATCAACAACAAAATGAAAAACCCCTGCAACCTCAAATACCCAATCCTAAAGGACCTGAATAGACCCTGTCTGAAAAGGAGACATGAAATTGACACAAATGAAAAGTTTCTCACAATCACTAATTCTCACAAAAACATAAATCAAAATCACACTCAGTTACTATTTTATTTCACTAAAAATGCATATTACCAGGCCAGGTGTGGTGGCTTATGCCTGTAACCCCAGCATTTTGGGAGGCCAAGGGGGGGTGGATCATGAGGTCAGGAGTTCAAGACCAGCCTGGCCAACGTGGTGAAACCTCATCTCTATTAAAGATACAAAAAATTAGCCAGATGTGGTGCCACGTGCCTGTAATCCCAGCTACTCAGGAGGCTGAGGCAGGAGAATCGCTTGAACCCGGGAGGTGGAGGTTGCGGTGAGCCGAGATCATGCCATTGCACTCCAGCCTGGGTGACAGTGTAAGACTCCATCTCAAAAAAAAAAAAAAAAAAGCATATTACGAAAACAAAAACAATAATTTTTGAAGGGGATGGCCAGTGCAGACGTGCAGAAAGGAAAACTCTCATACACTATAGGTAGGAATTAAATCACTCTACACACTGTGAAAAACAGTTGGAAGTTCCTCAAAACGCTAAATACAACTACCGTTTCAGCTAGCAGTCCTACCACTGGGTATACCTTTAAAGCAAGTGAAATCCTCATGTTCAAAAGAGGTATCTGCCTTCCCATGGTGACTGAAACACTAGTCACGACAGCCAAGGTACAGAATAAACCTATCTGTCCATCCTCAGGTGAAGGGATAAAGAAAATGCCGTGTGTGTGTGTGTGTGTGTGTGTGTGTGTGTGTATGTATATATATATATATGTATATATATATGTGTGTATATATATATATATGTATATATGTATATATATATATAATGAAATACTCTTCAGCCATAACACTCCAGGAAATCCTATCACCTCTGCAGCCAGGTGGAGAAAGCTGGAAGACATTAGGTAAACTATGAAATGACCCTGGTTGGAGAGAGATCTACACTGCATGATCTCAGGCATGCAGGATCCAAAAAATTTATCTCCTAGAAGCAGAAAGTTCAATAGCGGTTACCAGAGGCTGGGAAGAGGAGGAGGCCTAGGCAAGGAATGGTGAGCCGAACGCTCCCCACTCCAAATGTATTTACTTGTTTAGAGACAGAGTCTTGCTTTGACATCCAGACTGGAATGCAGCGGTGCCATCATGGCTCACTGCAGCACCCACCTCCCAGGCTCAAGTGGTTCTTCTGTCCTAGCCTCCCAACTGGGACCACAGAAATATGCGAACATTTTCAGCTAATATATATTTTTTTAATTTGTAGGGACAGGGGCTCCCTATTTTGCCCATGTTGCTCTCAAACTCCTGGGCTCAGGCAATCCTCTCACCTTGACCTCCCAAAGTGCTGAGATTCTAGGCTTTAGCCACCATGCCTGATCGTATGTTTACATGTTGAAATTCTAACCCTCAATCTCATGGTATCAGGAGGTGGGAGGTAATGAGGTCCTGAGGGTGGAGCCCGCATGAATGGGATTGCTGGCTTATTAAAAGGAACCCCAGAGAGCTCTCTTCTCCCTCTCTCTGCCAGGCGAAGACACAACCTGAAGTCTGCAGTCTGCCACACAGAAGACAGTCCTCACCAGGGCCCAACCAGGCTGGCACCCTGATATCCGACTTCCAGCCTCCAGAACTGGGAGAAATACAATTCTGTCTGCCCTGGGGATGAGCTCCCCAGGCTATGGCTCTTTGCTCTAACAGCCTGAACTAGCATAGAAGTGCTATCCCATCATCTGGGTTGTATTCTATTCAGAAAGGCGTCACTAACCCCTCAGTGCTGTGATCCTTGCGGACGCTGCCCACCATAGGCTGAGATGAGGCACAGGGTCTGGTTCTAAATAGAATCAGAAGGCACTGGAAAGTGCAATGTCAGAGGACGATGAGGGCTGAATTTCATATAATCTCAGCCTCTACTGGTGCGCATGGAAAACGAGGCCCAGAGCAAAAATGCCTTTCTCGAGATCACACTGTGGACCCCAAGCCCATTGGAGTTGTATTCCATGCTACCTCTCACCCCTCACTTCTTCTTGAAATTCTTCCATCTCTAAGCGTGTGCAGTATCTACAGGGGACACCAAACAATGAGTTTTATAAGATTTATCTCAAAGACACCTGATGAGTTCACCAGGAAGGAGATGCTAGCAAAACCCCATTGTGCATGTTGCAGGGCTGGGGAGGCCCCAAAACACCAGAAAACTTCTCTAGGGTCACAGAACTGGTAAGATCAAGGAGGTTTGGCCCAGCACTGTCTCCTCAAACCTAGGGCCTTAGTTGCCTCCAGGTCTTCCCAGGGTGACGAGGGGGCACTTTTTTTGCATAATTTGGAACAGGTAAGAAGTTGGTAGGAACAGGTAAGAATAGGGGGTTGGTGAGTGGTCAGAAGCCCAGTGGGGCCTTTGAGTAGGTCTTATGGACGGAAGGAGCATAGGGGATTGGACCTGGAAGAAGTGAGTCTCCTCTCAGATCCTGGGCCTTGTGATGGGCTTTCTCCCACCCTGGAGTCTTCCGGCATTTTCCCCCTGCCAAGGGCTGAAATGGCCTTAGCTGTTTCTCCAGACTCCCTTTGATGTTAAAGGATGAAATCCAATTATATTCCTTTAAGTTAAAGCATTCTTCTAAAGCATCTTGTCCTGTGCACTGTCTCTAAAATGAGGAGGGGACGAGGCCTCCCCAGGCCCTTTCCCTCCATATCAGAAGTGGAGCTTCAGGTGGCCTAGAGGGGATTTCATGTAGCCCTCCCTCTGGAAGGTGCTGAGTTCTTTTTTTTTTTTTTTTTTTTGAGACAGAGTCTCGCTCTGTCATCCAGGCTGGAGTGCAGTGGCGTGACCTCGGCTCACTGCAAGCTCCGCCTCCTGGGTCCACACCATTCTCCTGCCTCAGCCTCCCAAGTAGCTGGGACTACAGGCGCCCGCCACCATGCCTGGCTAATTTTCTGTATTTTTAGTAGACACGGTTTCACCGTGTTAGCCAGGATGGTGTCGATCTCCTGACCTTGTGATCCGCCCACCTCGGCCTCCCAAAGTGCTGGGATTATAGGCGTGAGCCACCACGCCCGGCCAGGAAGGTGCTCAGCTCTGACCCAGGTGCTGCTGCACTGCCATTTGACATCCAAAAGCCCGCGTCTCCTCATCTCTACCATGAGGATGATTTTTGAGGACTCACTGGGATGATGCTCTTGTAGGCTACTAATACAGCAGGTGCCACTGCTTCACAGCTGACAAACACCGTGAGGATGCCTTGAAGGCACTAATGTTTTTCATTATTCTCCACTTTTTTTTTTTTTTGAGTCTTGTTTTTTCACCCAGGCTGGAGTCCAGTGGTGCAATCTTGGCTCACTGCAACCTCCAACTCCCGGGTTCATGTGATTCTTCTGCTTCAGCCTCTCGAGTAGCTGGGACTACAGGCACATGCCGCCAAGCCCAGCTAATTTTTTTTTTTTTTTTAGTAGAGACAGGGTTTCACCATATTGGCCACGCTGGCCTCAAATTCCTGATCTCGTGATCCGCCCGCCTCAGCCTCCCAAAGTGCTGGGATTACAGGCGTGAGCCACCACGCCCTATTCTCCACTCTTATGTCAAATTTTAAAGTCTAGAACCTTTTCCACCATGGGAACCCATGTCCTCCACATCCACAAGTCTCCAAAGGGTTGGGGATTCCTTGTGTGAGCTCCAGATCCCAATCCTCTGGTGGTTCATGGTGTTGTCAATGACAGGTCTCTCCTTGTCACCCCAGTATGAAAATGAGGAGACTTACAGGGTGCGAACATTCCAGATAGGTACAGGGGAGAAACTGGTGAAGGCCCTGGTTCCAGCCTTTCTGGGTAGAACCATCTCCTCCTATGCCACCTGTTTGGGCCCCTCCTGGGACTTTATCACCGTGCCAGACTTCATGGAGGAACTGTTTACCAGGTGAATGTCCATCCCCTCCAACTCACAGTGGTGACTGTCTCCGACTAGCTGTGTCTTGAGGATGTCACCGAAGCCCTCTGAGCCTGTTTGCTCCTTTGTAAAGCAGTGAGATGAACCTCATAGGGTTCTTATGGGAACTAAATGGCCTAAGGCATGGCAAGCAGGTCCCAAGTGCCTGGCTCTGTGAAAAGGCTGCTGAGCATGCTATAGTTCACATTTATTATCTTTCCCTTCAATGGAGCTCTGGGCATGCTGTCTCAATGGCCCATATCCCTGTTTGGAAAAGCACACAGAAAGCAAATCTGTTTTTGCATTTGTAAAGGATGTCTGTGATTCTTTCTAACTGGTCTTTGTCCTTGACAGAGAAAGAACAGTGGTCCCTTGGGTCCTGAAGGAGGGGCCCCAGGCTCACTCAGGTATCTGTAGAGGTTCTGGTTGAGGTTCATTCATTCAACAGATATATATGAAAAATGTAATTTATGCAGTCACTTTTCCAGTGGCTTGGCATAATTTAGTAAAGAAAGCAGATGACAATGCCTGGGCCTCAATTCTACTTGAAGTGTCAGATACTTCCAGTAGAGCGCATAAGCAGGTCATATCCACAGAATGTTAGATGTGACAGCCTCATGGCCTCCTCTAGGTATGGTGGCATCTTCCCAGGTTCTGGGACTAGGATGACATAGCCCAGGAACAAGTATAAACTGGGTGGATTTAGGGTTCTGAAGGGTCTTTTGACTTCCAAACATACGTGGAGGAAATATGTGGACTGTAGCTGGGAAGAGACTGAAAAAACCCTGGGTCTCATCTCTCTTATGATTCCCATGAGAAAGTTGAGATCTAGGGACTTTCCCTACAAAAGGAAAGGAGAGTTGTAGATGGCACCTTAGGTCCCCAGTAAAATATAGGGGAGGCTATGGCCAGGGCCGACCCCCAAGAGAACCATTCCCAGCACAGGGGTTTCCTATCTCTGCCTGTCCTCCATGCCACATCTGCCTCTCCCAACCCAAGCACCAAGTGGCCCAGAGCTGGAGTTTTGATGGGCAACCTGCTCACACATCTGCCTGGAGCTGCAGTTGTGAGTGCCCAGGTGCTCAGCACTGTGTGCCAGGGCCTTTGGGAAGAGAATGTCAGTAGGAAGCCGGGGCCCGCAAGGGTCTGTATAGCCCTGCTGCATGGCCAGGTCTGCCCCTATCAAGACAGCACAGATGGCTGGGGCTGGAGTGGGGCTGTCCTCTACACAGGAAGCAACAAGCCAGGGGCCCAGAACCACAATAAAAAGCCCCGCAAGGGCCAGGCGCGGTGGCTCACGCCTGTAATCCCAGCACTTTGGGAGGCTGAGGCGGGCGAATCACGAGGTCAGGAGATCAAGACCATCCTGGCTAACACGGTGAAACCCCATCTCTACTGAAAATACAAAAAATTAGCTGGGCATGGTAGCGGGCGCCTGTAGTCCCAGCTACTCGGGAGGCTGAGGCAGGAGAATGGCGTGAACCTGGGAGGCGGAGCTTGCAGTGAGCCGAGATTCCGCCACTGTACTTCAGCCTGGGTGACAGAGCGAGACTCAGTCTCAAAAAAAAAAAAAAAAAAAAAAGCCCTGCAAGGCATGTGTAGGAGGGAGGCCAGGCCTCTGGTTCTGCTGTGCCCTCCATCACCAGCACCACCACCTACCTCCATTTTGTTCACCCGGCCCCATGGATACAAAAACTCTGCCGTGTATTTAGAATAAGAAAGGTAGTAAAGCTATGAAGACTTTGTCTTTTGGGCCGCTATTCCTTAAACCTCCCCATACTCCCTCTTCAATGTGTTCCACTATCCATTCATCTAACAGCCTGATTACAACTCCCTGGGTGCTCTCCAAGTAAGAGGGGTATTTAGGGTTTTGCTGAGTGCAGGGGTGATGCCTAAATGGGTGGATGAATGGACAAACTGACAAAGCAACAGACGAAAGGAAACATTCCAAAACCTTATTGAACAGAACTTTCTTCATGACACCTCTCGGAATGTAAACAGAGCTTGGTGTGAAGAAGATCAATCTGATGGCTAAAGATCAGTATGACTGCGTAAGGCAGTTTGACATCTACCCATCCCTAACAGATTTTCCTAAAACTCTGTGGAACAACCAAGGAGAAGGCATATTCCTCCCTTTCCAAAGGTGGGCAATGTGCCTCTTCCTGGAAGGTTATTTTACAAGCACGGGCCCCTGAAAGCAGCAGCCTCCCCATCAGCCATTTTGGCGTGAGCAGTTACAGCTGCACACTTTGCAACTTGTCCCGCCTTGAGTCTGATGTCAGAAGAGCATGTCAGTCCACTTCCACTTCAGAGAGGGTTGGTGGTGTCAGGCAGCCCTGCTGTCCAAGGTTCTATCCTTTGATCACAGCAATTGGTCTCAGTTTAATGGCTTTCTTGCTGATTCCAGCATCATGGCAGGTATTTACCACATCTGTCACATTCTTATAGGACTCAGGAGCCTGCAGGAGAGGAATTTAAACATTGTACAAGTCCACTGAAAACACAGTCTTTACAAGCACCAAACTTCACTTGTGATGAAATAAATGCACACTAAAATAATACAGAGAGTTTTTTTTTGCCTATGAAATTAGCAAAAATTTAAAAAAGAAGTAAGCCTGATGTTGGTCAGTGCTGATTTCCAAAACACTTTCACCTTTTTTTTTTTCTGTATTTTTCAAAATGTCTTTAAAGAACATGTATTACTTGTATAACTAGGAAATGTAGTAAATGTAAGTAAATAAAACACACACCAGAACCTGATTGGAAGAAACGGCACCCAACCATCATATGTTAGTGATAATTATCTCTTGATGGTAGAATTACTGGCAATTTTAATTTTCTTCCTTTATATATTTCTGCAGTTATCAAAATTTCTGGAATGAACATGTAGTACCTTCACAGTAAGTTATAAAATTCATATATGTATAAAACAAAGTAAAACTGTGTGCACATGTATATGTGGGTATCTATGTGTACCTACACTCACAGACAATTTCTGTGACTTTCCAGCAACATTCCCACCATTCCATCCTACCCACACAGCCTTGCCACCATTAGCACTAATCTCATCACACACTCACTTTATCTTCATTCCTGTCAATACAAGCTTAGGCCATCCATGCTGATTCCCGTACGGTTCTGTACATAATATCCTTTTCTATCCCATCTCCCATTCCCTTCCAGTTTCTGAAACTTTCCCACTGTGGCCTCTGGAACTCCTTCCAGAAGGAGCAAAATCCCCTCCCTCCCTTCTTCTTTGAATGTTCCCTTCACCTTCTTGTTTTACTGAAACACGGATCTTTCCCGAGGATACCACTTTCATCTCCAACTTTCTGAATGGTGACTGCTGTTTTCCCCAAATCAGGTCATGCCATTGGTCCCAGAAGTGGGACAGGTGTGCTCCTGGCTTTCATGGTTGTTTCTATTCTCCCGTTCTCCCTAGGCACTCCTAGTTTTGAATCTTGCAGTCATTACATCGTACCACAAACTACCTTTGGCTGTAGTTATCTGTGGGAGCCTGAATCACTCCCCAGTACTACTTGGCGATTTCTAGCTCCTGGCAATCAGATGAAATTCCACTGGGCCAATGACTGTCTCTCCCCTAGATGAATATTTCATACCTTTTCTCAGATCCCACTCTCACTTGCTGACCTTACTATGTAATACACTGAAAAAAATAGAAGCAGCCAGAATATTCATAAACATGCTAACTTTATCTTCCCCACATATCTGTATCTATACCTTCTCTCCTTTTATTTTTTTACTCTGTCACCCAAGGTTGAGTCCAGTGGCACAATCATAGCTCACTGAGACTACAGGCATGTGCCACTGTGCCTAATTTTTTTTATTTTTGTAGAGATGGGGTCTTGCTTTGTAGCTCAGGCTGGTCTCAAACTCCTGGCTTTAAGCGATACTCTCACCTCAGCCTCCCGAAAGTGCTGGGATTACAGGTGTGAGCCACTGTGCTCAGCTTCTTCTCTCCTTTTATAAAGGATGAATTATCTGTGCTCCTAGCAAAGACCAACCCCATCCACTTGTACATCAGACTCTATCTCCTCTCATCTATTCAAGGACACTTCTCCAGCAATTTCCTCCCTCTTTTCTGCATCATTAATTTCTCTTGTAGATTCTTCTCATCAACATGCAAACACATTTGTCAGATCACGTCACTATTCTGCTCAAAATCCTCCAAGGTTTTTTCATTTTAATCAGAGTAAAAGCAAAAGTCCAAATGCTCTGGCGCCCCCTACCTCTCTGACCTCATCTCCCTCTGGCTTGCTCTTGTCATGCCTGGCCTCCTTGCTGTTTCTTGAACACTCCTTCATAACCTCAGCTCACAGATTTTGCGCTTGCTGTTCTCTCTGCCTCGAAAGCTCACCTCCAGATGCCCAGGTAGCCTGTTTCCTCTCTCTCTTCAGGTCTTTGCTCTACTGTCACCTCACTGAAGTCTTCTCCGACCACCTGCTTAAAACTGTACCCCTTCCCACCTTTCCTTACCACCTTTCCCTGCTTTTTATTTCATAGAACTTGCATGGTCATTAACACACTGTATGTTTTATTATTTGGAAAGCTCCACAACGAAGGGACTCGTGTTTCTTTTGTTCACTGCAGTATCTCTAGCATATAGAACAGTACCTAACTATAGCGGATGGTTAGTACGTGTTAGCTGAGTAAGTGAATCAAATAATCACGTGTTGCAGGTGAAAAAACAAAACAAAACCAAAAAACCAAAAATCCAAATTTTAACTGTAATTATTTCTGGCTGATTGAATTCTAAATGTTTTCTGTTTTCTCCTTTGTATTTTCCAAATCCTTTTTTTTTTTTTGAGATGGAGTGTTGCTCTGTCGCCCAGGCTGGAGTGCAGTAGCGCGATCTCGGCTCACTGCAAGCTCCGCCTCCCGCGTTCACGCCGTTCTCCTGCCTCAGCCTCCCGAGTAGCTAGAGCTACAGGCGCCCGCCACCACGCCCGGCTAATTTTTTGTATTTTTAGTAGAGATGGGGTTTCACCGTGTTAGCCAGGATGGTCTTGATCTCCTCACCTTGTGATCCACCCGCCTCAGCCTCCCAAAATGCTGGGATTACAGGCCTGAGCCACTGCACCTGGCCAGTATATTCCAAATCTTTTAAATTAACCATGTATTCTTAAGATCAGGGGAAAAATGAATTGTTATTAAAAAAAATAAGTCTTTGTCATACTCTGACTCAGTAATTCCACTTTTTTTCCTTATTTTTTTTTAGAGATAGGGTCTTGCTTTGCACCAAGTCTGGACAATCACATAGCTTACTGTAACCTCAAGGTCCTGGGCTCAAGCAATCCTCCAGCTTCAGTCTCCTGAGTTGCTAGGACTACACCTGGCTAATCTTTGGCCAAACTAATCTTGAACTCCTGGCCTCAAGAGATCTTCCTGCATTGGCCTCCCAAAGTACTGGGATTATAGGCATGAGCCACCATGTAACTCCACTTTTGAGACTTTGTTCTAATTACTATAACAACTGGAAAAAACCTTCATGCATGAAGACACTCATTACAATTTAATTTATAGTAGCAAAAATTTGGAAGCTACTTAAATGTCCACTACAGGCAGAAAGTAAGGTACTCAGCTGGTGGAATATTCAGCAATGATTTTAAAAAGTGACACAAACAATTTTATAATAATGTGCAAAATTTTAAAAATAACTACAGAATGTTTCTTAACTATAATTAAGACTAGCTTTAAAAAAAGCATTTAGGAAAAAACTATGACAATAAGTAAATTTTTTTTTTTTTTTTTTGAGACGGAGTCTTACTTTGTCATCTAGGCTGGAGTGCAGTGGCATGATCTTGGCTCACTGCAACCTCTGCCTCCCGGATTCAAGTGATTTTCCTGTCTCGGCCTCCTGAGTAGCTGCGATTATGGGTGTCCACCACCATGCCCAGCTAATTTTTGTATTTTTAGTAGGGGTTTCACCATGTTGATCAGGCTGGTCTCAAACTCCTGACCTCATGTGATCTGCCCACCTCGGCCTCCCAAAATGCTGTGATTACAGGCGTGAGCCACCACGCCCGGCCGACAATAATAAGTATTCTAAAAGATAAGGTAATAACTGTGTCAGGGCATTGAGTTTTTGGATGACTGTTTTTCTTTTCTCTTAAATCATTAAGGAATTATATTGCTTTTAATTTAAATATGTACATATATGTAAACATATATACAGAATTTAAACAAAATCTGTTCTCCTGTGAATCAAATAAAACTTTCTCCAAACATTTATGCCTTCCTTTTTCAAATTTGCTTTCAAATTGAAACCTAAGTATACAATTGTGCAAAAACAAGAGTCAGCTCAAACTACTCTTGAAAAGCTTAATATGTAGATGGAGACTATAAATGAACAGTAAAAATCATTCTTAAGGACTTGGCTCGTAATTTTAACCAAAAGAAATGAAAACATAAAACTGAAATAAGCTAATCCAAGGAAGATAAGCCAAAATTGAGGTCATAAAAAAAAATAACCCAAACAATTTCTGTTAGTAACACCCTAAATTGCTGTCTCTGTAGACTGGAACAAATTACAAATGGGGAACAATAAATATTCATGTATTTATCAAAATTTCACTTACCTCTTCCATAACCAGTTTGGGTGAGGCAACACGGATCGCAATTCCCATATCTGCCAATTTGTCTAAGACATCCTGGAAATCTAAATTACGTCGAGATTTTGCTCGGGACAATGCACGGCCCTAGAATGGGAAAGGAATGAACTTTACTTTAAACCCTAAGATGATAAGCCCTTTCCCTGATTTTCTCTCACACTAAAAAGGAGCTTAAAAAAACATCTTTTTTACTTTATCGAATTGGTAACAGGCCTTTTAAACCTCATCATATCCTTTTAGATTTTGGACCGGAGAATTCTTTGTTGGGAGGCTGTCCTATGCAGGGTATTCAGCAGCGCAGCGCAGTGTATTCAGCAGCATCCCTCGCCTCTAAGACCCACTAAATGCCAATAGCAACTCCCACTAAACCATGACAATAAAAAAAGCCTCCAGAAATTGTCAATGTCCCCATGGCGGTAGGGGGATCTCCTTTGTTGAAAACTACTGGGTTAAAATTAGGAGTTGGGAGGCAGCTAGAAATGAGAAACAATCAGAAAAAAAAGTAGGATTAAATACATTTGTGAAGGTCTGTCCTAGGAGAAGGTACTCTAGACAGTTTCTCTTTCCCATTTCAACACTGGCTCAACACTCTGGATGGCTTAGAAAAGGGGCCGGCAAACTACGGTGTATGGGCCAAATATGGCCCACCACCTGCTTTTTAAAATAAACTATTTTGTTTTTTGAGAAAGGGTCTCCCTCTGTCACCCAGACTGGAGTGAAGTGACATAATCATAGCTCACTGCAGCCTTAATCTCCTGGGCTCAAGCAATCCTCCTGCCTTAGCCTCCTGAGTAGCTATGACTACAGGTGTGCCACCACACCCGGCTAATTTAAAAAGTTTTTGTGGAGACGGTGTCTTGCTAATGTTGCCCAGTCTAGTCTTGAATTCCCGGCTTCAAGTGCTCCTCCTGCCCTGGCCTCCCAAAGTGCTGTAATTACAAGTGTGAGCAACCATGCCTGGCCTAAAATAGTTCTATTAGAACACAGCATTGCCCATTTACACAGTACTTAAGGTTGCTTCTGCACTGAAATGGCATAGCTGAATAGCTGGTACACAGACCATCTGGTCCCAAAAGCCTAAAATATTTACGGTCTGGCCCTTTATGGGAAGAGTTTCCTGACCCCTGGGCTTAGAAGATGAGAGGCAGTGTTTTGAAATGGGTGTGTGTGTAGACTGTACATGGGCTCTAATTTGCAAATAGGGCCTATCCTTCCAATCTTGCGTGGACCTACACAATAGGAAGGGGCAAATTAAACAAAGGAGCAGGTCCAGTCAGTCGCTGAGATCAACTGTGATATTTGCATCAGTTAAAGTTCTATCACTTATAAACCAGACAGTAAGCTCAGCTAGTGTGACAATTTCCCAGTCTGGATTTTCTGGACTTGCAGAGATAAGAAACGGTCCCTAACCCTACCAGATCTCACTGAGGCAGAGATACTAGGTGACCCCAGTCAGTTCACTAAATAGTATACATTATGGGGAACAATTTGAAGTACAAGACATGATAGGCCCAAGTCTCAACTCTGTTAATGTTCAATCAGCTACATTTACCAGTCAAAATGGAAAACCATAGCTAAACTGAAGAGAGCATTTCTAAGGAAGTTTCTGTTTTCCTTACCGCTCCATGACAGGTTGTTCCAAAGGTCTCAGTCATGCCCTGTTCAGTGCCAGTAAGAACATAACTACAGGTTCCCATGGTGCCACCAATGAGCACTGGCTGTCCAGTGAGCTGAGGATGCACATAAATCAAACATGTTAAAATTCAGAAAAACATAGGCTTTTTATGCATAAAATTTAAATTTTCTCTTGCACTGTAGGATTGTAGGAGAAACCCAGACTTCTTTTTTTTTTTTTTGAGATGGGAGTCTTGCTCTGTCGCCCAGGCTGGAGTGCAGTGGCGGGATCTCGGCTCACTGCAAGCTCCGCCTCCTGGGTTCACGCCATTCTCTTGCCTCAGCCTCCCGAGTTGCTGGGACCACAGGCGCCTGCTGCCATGCCCAGCTAATTTTTTGTATTTTTAGTAGAGGCGGAGTTTCACCATGTTAGCCAGGATGGTCTCGATCTCCCGAACTCGTGATTTGCCCGCCTTGGCCTCCGAAAGTGCTGGGATTACAGGCGTAAGCCACCACACCCGGCCGGAGAAACCCAGACTTCTAAACGCGCGGCTAGTAAACTATATTAAGATAGTACTTTGATTCTTTGATAAATCGGAGGGGAAGGAAGAGGACGAGAGTGAAAATCTGAGGACCAGTAAAAATGCAGAAGAGTCAAAATAAGAGCAAAGCAAAATCCAAAAGTGTAGAGAAGTGTTGCTAGAACCACCATCCTGAGCAAGGTGCTTGTCTTCTCTGTTTTGGGTTTCTCATCTGTAAAAGGAGCAAGCAGACTATGGGGTCTTTCGAACTCCACCACAGCCAGACACCAAGAGGACAGGAGGAATGAAACAGACTGAGTTTACTCTGTCTTCTGTAACTGAGTTACTCCTGTCTTCCACTAATTCAAAGGCCTCAATTCACGGTAGTGGAGTAAAATACACTTCCTGCAGCACTTGCTATAGCACACGGCACCACCGCAAGCACAAATGATGGGGGAAGGAGTTACTGCTTCAGAGAAGATTGGGAATCACTGTTCTCATGAGTGACAGAGTATTTTCTTTTCACAATTGCTGCTTTTCGTTTTAAATGTAATTCACATTTGCAACAATCTAAATCGTGCCCCCACTGCTTAAAACTACAAACGTAGAGCTACGTACTTGGTAATCAACAGCAATGAGGGGATGGTGAGGAGGGAAAGCGCGGGTGGATCCCTTCCTGTGTACTAACAGTGTCCGTTCCTTTCCGTCCACCACATGCTGCTCCACTTTGGCAATGTTGTGAGAAACATCATAGATCACATGTAGGTCCAAGTCATCAGGGGTTGTGTTGAAGACCTTGGCGAAAGCCTAGGAGAAAACACAGAAGATAAAAGCAGCCAGAACTTCAGGACTTATGTTCAGCTCTTCGTGACTCATCTCACTGGTTTCAGGTAGTCTGTTCTGAAGGGAGTAAAAGATTTAAAAGTTCAAAAGTAGCCGTAAGATTATCTTCACGTAAAGGACAAAAGCTGTCCTTTAGACCACACAGGAAATGCCACCACATCATTTTCATCTTTAGTTGAAAAGCTGCTGGGCAACTTTTGATCCCACCTTTCAAAATTGCTTCTTCTCAGCCTTCTGAATCTTAGTCAGTGGCACTTTTATTCTCTATGCTGTTCAAGACAAATTCTAGGAATAATTTTGATTCTCTGCTCTCATTTCTCATGCCTGATACTCTGATGATTTAGTTTAAGACAACACCAAAACCTTGGACACTTCTCTGGTATTTTGAAAGTTAACTATGTGAATTTCCAAAACCAAACACCATAGGCTTTGACTGGACTGCACGATGTTTTTTTCTTTTGGAGACAGGAGTCTCACTCTGTCACCCAGGCTGGAGTGCAGTGGCACGATCTCGGCTCACTGCAAGCTCCACTTTCCAGGTTCACACCATTCTGCTGCCTCAGCCTCCCGAGTAGCTGGGACTACATGCACCCGCCACGACGACCAGCTAAGCTAATTTTTTGTATTTTTAGTAGAGACGGGGTTTCACCGTGTTAGCCAGGATGGTCTGGATCTCCTAACCTTGTGATCCGCCCCCCCTCGGCCTCCCAAAGTGTTGGGATTACAGGCATGAGCCACCGTGTCCAGCCTGGACTGCACTATGTTTTAAAGCACTTAACATCATCATGAATGACTCGGAACAGAAGAGCAACTTCTACTGTACCTGACGGGTTAAGAAGGTCATGGAAGAGCGGTTGACCCAGGCATAGTTCCCAGCAGCTGCCATTCCCTTCAGATAGTCTTGACCCTCTGGGGAAGCGATTCGAGCACAAGCCAACTGCCGATCATTGACTATAATCTTGTCTCTCTTCATGGCCTTCTCCATAGCTACCAGCGCATCTGGAACAAGAGCCACAAAGTCCAAACCAGTTAGCTTTCCCTTAAATGAACAGTTCAGATTTACTGCAGAAAGGTAGGCTACATTCAAATTCATTCCACAAAAAAACCCAATGAAAGCCAACTTTCCCTTTAATGTGTTTCTGAGTTCATCTATTTGCTCAGTCAAGACGTACTTGAGAATCTTTCAGAGTGCAGTGACAGTTTGTGGGACACAAAGTCAACATTTGCCCTCTAGGAACTTGAAAGAGAATGGGATGTGTAAACAAATAGCCACAAGATGGTCTTCATTACTCCTTTCTCAATATGTGAATGCATGGGAATAGTAGTAGCAAAATACATTTTGTTGCCTTCATGATTAATCAAATCCATGACAAAATGCAGAGAAGTACTCAGGGGAATGTTCTGAAACACTAGTTGACACTTCGTACATCTGCTAGGTTAAATAGTCTAGAGGGTCAGGCTGGCACAAATTATTAAATTCTCACACAATAAAATGGACTAGAGGCTGATCTGTAACATGGAATTTTAAGCTTATAACAATTTCCAGGCATCTATATACCTTTTCATTGATTCGCTGTTGGAGGCCGAAAGAATGAGGGTCGTGAACAACTCAGTATACCACTGGAGGCTATGAGTAAACAGCAAACTGTTCTTATGAATGCAAGATGCTGGCAAGCTGACAACTGCGTCTGTTGCCCAGAAGGAATGCTGAGGGCAGCCACGCCCCAGGCACAAGTGTTTCTTGTGACAGGCACATGTGAAGCCTGTTAGCAATAATATGAACCTGGGATCAATCAAGCAGCTGACCAATAGTTACCTCCTCCTCCCTGCTCTTTCTACCCAATAAATACAAAGGGCTGTGGAAGCTCACTAGAAGCAAGAAGCCCCTGACTCCTTCTTTAAAAGTTTCTTTTGTTTTTTGTTTTCATTTCTGCGTTCATCCCGCTTCATTCAGTCCTGTAGTAACCGTCACAATTCATACATTATTTCACACACCCTCCAAGCTATCCAAAAGGACCTATCCAATATTTCGCTGCTTCCTGCTTTTGTTCATGCTGCCTTTGTCACCAGTCTTTGTGTGTAATTGTCCAAACTGTGAGATCCAGCTCAACACTGGGTCCATGAAGCCATCTCCAAAATCTTTTTCTTAAATGTGTTTTGTTTGACTCTCCTATATAATTAATTGCTACCTTTTAATATTTATTTTTTCTTTTAAATGGACATGACCTTTACTTCATGAGACAATTTGAGTGCAAAGTATCTGCCTCTTTCATCAGCAAATCCACCATCACATCTACTGTTGCAGAGCAGGTATATGATACATAATCTGCCAAATGAAAGCCTATTTCATAAATTCCACTCTTTACACATTTCTTGCTCTTTCTTGGCCAGATAGTAACTCATAAGAGTAAACATAACAATAACTGCAACTAACATTTATTGAGTGTTTACTAATGTCAAACATTAAGTGCTTTACATATATTATTAACTTTCCATGATAATTCTATATGAAATAACTATTATACTCATTTTTTTAGACAAGAAAGTTATGGCCCAGTGAATTTGTCCAAGTTATTTAATTGTTGAGGACTCAGGATAAAACCCATGCAGTATATTTCAGAGTTTTCGCTCTTAAATTTCTATCTGGTTGCCCATAAAATGTACATTTTAGCACAAAGTCTAGAATATACCTGTGGCTACTTGGTGGCCCAAGCCTCTGCTTCCACTGTGGATCATCACACACACCTGTCCCTTATGGTCGATGCCCATTTTTTTAGCAGCATACTCATTGAAAATCTCATCCACAACCTGGATTTCTGCATAATGGTTGCCTGCTCCCAGGGTCCCCAACTGCAAATGTAAAAATGTCTGGTAAGATAGTTTTTATTCCAGTTTTTTTTTTAATCTATTTAAAAACCAAAAAGATAAAAACAAACTAACAACAAAATAAACATACAAATAGTGTTTCAGTAACAAAAAAATTCCTAAGCTATAGAAGTGTTTCATTTACAATATTCTACACAACAAAATAACGTAGACTAGCTCCTGAATTTTGTTATATCATTATATGCTTGGTATACACATATAAAAAACTAACACAGGAACAGAAAACCAAACACCACGGGTTCTCACTCATAAGTGGGAGCTGAACAATGAGAACACATGGACACAGGGAGGGGAACATCACATACCAGAGCCTGTCGAGGAGTGGGAGGAAAGGGGAGGGAGAGCATTAGGACAAATACCTAATGCACGTGGGGCTTAAAACCTAGATGATGGACTGACAGGTGCAGCAAACCACCATGGCAAATGTATACCTATGTCACAAACCAGCACATGTATCCCAGAACTTAAAGTAAATAAATTAATTTTTTAAAAAAAGCTTCATAAACAAAAAAAATCAAGCTTTTAAATGGTTCATGGGATATTTTAAACATCACAAAGAGTCAAATTTTGGGATAAATGTTGGTAAATGTTGACTCTTAGACAAGGTCCAAGTTCAAATGATTTTGAAACATCTATGAGTTCATGGACATCCACCATTATTTATAACTGAAAGAACATATACCACAACTACAGCTAATATTAATAGATGATTTAGAGAACTAGAGAATGTCAGTGCTGGAAGAGTCTTTAGAGGTTGCCTAGTTTTAACCATCCCAGTTTTCCATAAGAAAATGAGATCCAGAGAAGACAGTCTTGCCCACGTGTCACACTGAATTAGTGGCAAAGCCTTCACAACTAGCTGTAATTTCAAACATCTAGTATATTCTTATCTCATGGATACCATCTGTAGACTGTCAAAATATGTATATATGTAATTTTGACGTATGAACCTGATAAACATATTCTATTTTTCTCCCATTCACTTCTAATTCATTATTTCTTATTTTATGAACATTTGCAAGCTCCTGATTGCTCTGTCACCCAGGCTGGAGTGCACTGGCGTGATCACAGCTCACTGCAGCCTCAAACTCCTAGGCTCAAGCAGTCCTCCTGTCTTAGCCTTCTGAGTAGCTGGGATTACTTGCATGTGCCACCATGCCTGGCTAATTTTTTTTTTTTTTAATTTTTGTAGAGACTAAGTCTTCTTATGTTGCCCAGGCTGGTCTCGAACTCCTGGCCTCAAGCGAACCTTCCTCCTTGGCCTCTCAAAGCTGGTGTGAGCCACCGCATCCAGCCCTGATAGTTTTTTTAGAATAAAAATGAAGCATAAACAAATTTGTATTTTTTGATATACCATAAAAAAACCTGGGAATATGTTTGCTAAATGTAAGATATAGATTTTTTTCCCCCAATAAAAACAAAATATGAAAAAAAAATTAACATGTTGCCCCTCCAAAGTGAGTTACCTGAGGAAGGCCTCTTTTCTTCGCCCTTGCAGAAACTTTATTGGGGTCAGCCTGCAGCATCCTTCCGTACTCCTCGCAGTGCTCCTTGTCTTCAGCCCAGGCATACCCTTCTCTTAAGGACCAGTCCACCCCCATCTCCAAGGCCTCCTCCAAGTCTCTGGATAAGTATAAAAGGTGCTAGTCATCTCACAGCAAAGGCAGATCAAAACCTAAGGATGACCACATCCTTAAAGGGCAGAGAAAAACTCGACATTTACTATCTCCTGTGTTCCAAGCCTTGAGTCAGATACAAAGTTTAAGCTCTCAGTAACTGGTTTTTTGAGGAATGCAGTCATATAAATAATTCCAATATAAAATGATAAATGCCCTATTAGACATCATTATAGTTCTACTTGACATTTATACTGCTCCTTGTTAATTTTCAAATCTTTTTTATATTCAGTTTTGCCTCTCTGATCCTGAATTCCATGAGGTAGTGATTAAACAGACAAAAACAAAACAAAACAAAAAACAACAACAACAACTCTGTAACCTTAATCAGCTATCACTCTCTAACGACTAATTCAACCAGGTACACACCTTAATCATTTATGAATTACGGTCAAATAAATGAAGGTATCTAGAATTCCTCAGGCAACACAGGTTAAATTTTAAGCTGTTTTCCCATCTTCACAGAAGTTCTGAGTGGCTTACGGCACCTCCATTTTGAAGCTGAGGTACACGTACATTAAACCCTTAGAGGGTACAAGCTTTAATCTTCATCCAAGGTCCAGCTCTCTTCTAAAACACTGCCAGGAAAAACTACACTTTTCAATGTTCTCTCCCCACTACCCCAGATGACAGCCCATTTCACTATCATTATTTCATTTTGTTATTATTTTTTACTGCTCCTTGCAGAGCAGGGTCACCCCATAGGCAGTGTGCCCAGAGTAGACCCATTTCAGTATTAGTAGACAAAATTCCTATCTAAAATGTTTATAAAGATGTTTGGAATTTGTGTGTTCCACGTATGCTTTTCAAATTGGGGCTGCATGTCAGGGATCATGTGAAATCACAGACCACGCATCATCCAAGTATATTGATTTTACTTAGGTATTTTTTTTGGTTAGGGGGAGTTAAATAACATTACAAGTAACAGCTAAAAACATTTTTTTCTATTAATTATAATGCAAAGTTCACATAAATTTGAAGGATAAAGCAAAATATTAAAGAAACATAGCTAGCACACTATTCTGCTACTGAAGTACTCTGCAAAGTTTAGGGTGCACTGCTTTGCATAAGCTATGACACGGTAAAATCTATGGCCATCTGAGAGATACACTATAGCATTATATTTAATCCTCTACTTACCAAAGAACACATCCAGTGCTATCATTCAAAGAGGAAGGTTGGGGTTAAATAGGCTTAATGACAAAAGGCAGTAGGATTCAGAATACAGCTTCTGAAGTCAAAGGATCTTTGGTTTGAATCCTGATATCACCTACTAAGTTTTTTTTTTTTTTTTTTTAATTGAGACAGGGTCACTCTGTTGCCCACGCTGGGGTGCAGTACTGAGATCTCAGCACACTGCCGCCTTGAACTCCTGGTCTCTCAAGGGATCCTTCTGCTTCAGCCTCCTGAGTAGGTGGGACTACAGTCACAAGCCATCATGCCTAGTTAATTTTTTTTTTTTAGAGACGAGATCTATGTTGCCTAGGTTCATCTTTTACTCCTGGACTCAAGTGATCCTCCTGCCTTGGCCTCCCAAAGTGTTGGGATTCTGTAAACCCAACCACACCTGGCACTAAGCTTATTACCTCTCTAAACCTCAGTTTTCTTTCTTGTAAGTTAGGGAAGATAATAGGGTTATTGTCTGGATGAAATGATATGATGCTCAGCACCTTACACATAGAAAGTGCTCAATAAACGTTGGTGGATATGATGTTATTATAAATACTACTCTATGTCAAAGGCTGTTATAACATCGGTTGACTAATGTCTCCAATAAATGGGCTGTACCTCATGCTTAAAAAAACAGTTCTTACTACTTCCTGAAAAGTAACTGAACAATCCTCATCTCTCAAGTGTACTGCACTGGAAAGGAAGCTGAAGGTCATGTGGTTATTATCCCTCCCATACCATGTACTGGAAACGTGTGCTCTTACTTGGCATTCATTGGGATGACACCTTTTGACCCCACCCCAACAGGAATGTGGTCAAACATAGCTTGGGCAAGTTGCTCCTTCACAGGCTGGACATCACTTTCATCTAAATTGGTTCTTAGCAAGCGGACACCACAGTTGATGTCAAACCCGACACCACCTACAAAATAGAGAAAAGTTAGCAAAACCAGCTGGTAAGGCACTGTTACCTGCAGTTTCTCGCCATTAATATGGAACTATAAAGATACCCATTCTTTTAAAGATAACTATGTTTTAAAGTAGACAACAAAGTGGTTCTTTGCTGAGTAAAGCTTGATGACACCAAGATAATCTAAAGTAACATACACACTAAAGGCACTTTATGGACAAGGGAGGCAGCAATGAACATTGAGTAACATGTAAAACAGAGATCAAAATATGCCTCTCTTTTCTTCTTGACCACTGTTTTCACAGGTTCATGAATTTTTTCAGTCTTTTCAAATAACCAACTTTTGCGTTTCTTGGTCCTTTCTATAACATATCTTTCCATTTCACTAATTTTACTCCTAATTATTCCATCTTTCTACTTTTTTAGGGTATAATTTGTTGTGCTTTCTAGGGTCACTGATATTCCAGCCTTTCTTCTTTCCCAATTTGTGCATTTAAGGCTGCATGTTTCCATTCAAAAAGGACATTAACAGTGACCTCAAAATTTTAGACATAAGTACTTTTATTTTTCATTTTTGAGACGGAGTCTCACTCTGTCGCCCAGGCTGGAGTACAGTGGGGTGATCTCGGCTCACTGCAACCTCCGCCTCCTGCATTCAAGTGATTCTCCTGCCTCAGCCTCCCGAATAGCTGAGATTACAGGCGTGCGCCACCACACCCAGCTAATTTCTTTTATTTTTAGTAGAGACGGGGTTTCACCATGTTGGCCAGGATGGTCTTGAACTCCTGATCTCATGATCCACCCACCTCAGCCTCCTAAAGTGCTGGGATTACAGGCGTGAGCCACCACACCTGGCTGACTTTTGTTTTTTTGAGACAGGTTCTTGTTCTCTCACCCAGGCTGAAGTGCAGTGGAGTAATCATAGCTCACAGCAGCCTCGACTTCCCGGCTCCAGCAATCCTCTCACCTCAGTCTCCTGAGTAGCTGGGACTACAGGTGTGTGCCACCAGGCCTGATTAACTTTTGTATTATGCGTAGGGATGGGGTTTCACCATGTTTCCTAGGCCAGTCTCAAACTCCTGGGCTCAAGTGATCCTCCTGCCTCGGCCTCCCAAGATGCTGGAATTATAGGTATGAGCCACCGCATCCAGCCTATAAGTATTTTTTAAATCATTTTCTCCTCAGCTTGAGAGATGACCGGCAAATAAATGGCAAATAAAAACTGTATATATTGGCAGGGTGCAGGGGCTCGTGCCTGTAATCCCAGCACTTTGGGAGGCCGAGGCGGGCGGATCATGAGGTCAGGAGATCGAGAACATCCTGGCTAACGCAGTGAAACCCCGTCTCTACTAAAAATACAAAAAAATTAGCGGGGTATGGTGGCGGGTGCCTGTAGTCCCAGCCACTCAGGAGGCTGAGGCAGGAGAATGGCGTGAACCCAGAAGGCGGAGCTTGCAGTGAGCCAAGATTGCACCAGTGCACTCCAGCCCGGGCAACAGAGCGAGACTCCGTCTCAAAAAAAAAAGAAAAAAAAACCTGTATATATTTAGGTGTACACAATGTACATTTACATTGTGAAGTAATTATCACAATCAAGCTAATTAACCTATTTATGATCTCACAGTTACTTCCCCTTCTGTTTTTCTGGTGAGAACATTTAAGATTTATTTTCTTAGAAAATGTCAAGTACACAATATTTTATTTTAGAGACAGGGTCTTGCTTTGTTGCCCAGGCTAGGTCATAGCTCACTGAAGCCTCCAAGTCCTGGGCTCAAGCTATCCTCCCACCTCAGCCTCTGAATTGCCTGGGACTATAGGTATTAGGCTGGTGCAAAAGTAATTGTGCTTTTTGCCATTAAAAGTAATACAATACAATACATTATTATTAACTACAGTCACTATGTTATACATTAGATTTCCAGAACTCATTCATCTTAAAACTGAAATTCTGTATACTCTAACATCCACCCTGTTAGCACCATTCTACTCTCTCTGTGAGTTTAACATTTTTAGATTGCACATATGGGCAAAATCATGTAGTATTTTCGTTTCTGTGTCTGGCCTATTTCTCAGCATATCCTCTAGTTTCATCCATGCTGTAGTAAATGGCAGGATTCCCTGTCTTTTCCCTTCAATTTTAAAAGATTGATTTCTTTCTTTATTAAGGTTGAATAATGCATTCAGGCTGTTTCCGTATCTTGGCTACTGTGAACAATGCTACAATGAACATGGGAGGGCAGGTATCTCTTTGGATACTGATTTCATTTCCTTTGGATATACACCCAGTGATGCAATTGCTGGATCATATGGTAGTTCTATTTTCGATTTTTTGAGGAATCTCCATACTGTTTACCATAATGGCTGTGCCAATTTACACTCCCTCCAATAGCATAGAAGGGTGTCCTTTACTTAACTCAATGTCAATTTTTAGACACAAGTATTTTCTACTTACATTAGTTATTTTCTCATTTCCATAGTTTTGTTTTTGACTCATGGGTTACTTAAAAGTATACTACTTAATTTCCAAATATATGGATTTTCTTTTTTGAGATCATGCCAGACTAGAGTGCAGCGGTGTGATCATAGCTCACTGTAGCCTCAACTTCCTGGGCTCAGGTGGTTCTCTGGATTCGGCCTTCCCAGTAGCTAGAACTACAGATGTGCGCCACCATACCCAGCTATTCTAAAACTTTTTGTAGAGATGGGGGTCTCCCTATGTTGTGCAGGCTGGTTTCAAACTTCTGGTCTCATGTGATCCTCCTGCTTTGGCCTCCCAAAGTTTTTCTAGTTTGTTTGTTTGTTTTTGAGACAGGGTCTCACTCTGTCGCCCATGCTGGACTGCAGTGGCGCAATCTCAGCTCACGGCAACCTCTGCCTCCTAGACCCAAGTGATCCTCCCACCTTGGCCCTCCCAAGTAACTGGCACTACAGGCGCATGCCCCCATGCCCGGCTAATTTTTTGTATTTTTTTTTTTTTAGAGACGGGGTTTTGTCATGTTGCCCCTGGCTGTTCTCAAACTCCTGAGCTCAAGCCATCCGCCCGCCTTGGCCTCCCAAAGTGCTAGGTCTAGTTTTTATTTAAACCATTTCTAATTTAATTCCACTGTGGTCAGAAAATATCCTCTTATATGAGTGGGTTCTTTAGTATGGTCCAGAGACCCTGGGGTGGGGGTGAGGGGGAAGACCATTTCAGGTGTGTAAGATTCATTTTATAATACTAAGACATTATTTGTCTATTTTATTCATATTCTCCCATGACTGTACAGTGAGATTTCTCAAAAGCTATATGACATAACATCTTTGTTCTAATGGATGAGACATGTACTTATATATTCTTGTCTTTAAAAAATGTGTTTTAATTTCTAATAAGGTAAACATTGATAAGAGTCTGAGATTAATCCTCAATAATTATTACTAAAGTGGTCCCGAGTGCAAAAAGTTTGAGGACTGCTGGTCTATATGATTTCAATGCTTTGAAATTTGATGCCTGCTTTACCGCTCAGCATGTGGTCAGTTTTGGTAAACTGTGTGCATTTGAAAAAAAATGTATACTCTGCACTGCTTGGCTGTACTACAATGCAAGTGCACATACACACACACAACCACACATGTATATTAGAGGTCACGTGTCAAGTTTGTTATTGGATCATTCAAATCATGTATATTCTTACTGACTGAAATTTGCAGTCACCTCCAAACAGCCCTACATGTAGGGCTCACATATCTGGAACTTTTTCTTCTTTTCCTCTAGATCTTGACTTCGCAAATTCTTACTGCCTTAGCAGATTTTCTGTGCCTTCAAACAGATTTAAGAAAAAATTTTTTACCCAGCCTTTCTAATTATTTTCAGCAGGGGATTGGTCTGAAACAACCTAGTCCACCACTGCTAGAAACAGAACTCTCAAGATGTCATTTAAACTTCATTTCTAAATTCACACTCTTTAACAGCAAAGATATTACTTCTGATATAGAATGTTTATTGAAAGCACCCCATAACCACAGCAGAAGGCGTATGCAACCTTCTGTATATTCAATGTTATCATTGAATAACAATGATAGTATTACTGAATATGTTCTACCTGCTTAGCACTGTTCTAAATATTTTACACAGCTGAACTCATCTAAGCTACTAATACTGTGTGGTCATTAACATTATTAGACGTGATCTGTCCACGAGGTAACTGATTTACAAAGATAAAAAAAAATTGCCAGTTTGTTTTGTAGCCAAAGTCTGAATACCATGATGTTTGGTAGGAGCCTCCCAAAATTTTCAATAAAAATATGCTTTGCTTGAAGTTGTAATAGCCTCTCAGTATCCACAAGCAATACTTCCAGTAAATATCAAAGAAAAATGACAGAACATGATGAGACTGAGTCATGCACATGGAGAGAAGTGCTCTGTTTCACAAAGGCTATGGTCCATAGAGAGAAGCTACACACATTTTTTTTTGAGATGGGGTCTTGCTCTGTCACCAGGCTGGAGTACAGTGGCACGAACTCGGCTCACTGCAACCTCCGCCTCCCGGGTTCAAGTGATTCTCCTGCCTCAGCCTCCCAAGTAGCTGGGAGTACAGGTGCGCGTCACCACCCCCAGCTAATTTTTCTATTTTTAATAGAGACACGGTTTCACCATGTTGGCCAAGATGGTTTTGATCTCTTGACCTCATGATCCACCCGCCTCGGCCTCCCAAAGTGCTGGGATTACAGACGTGAGCCACCGTGCCCGGCCAATGCTACACACTTAACAGCAGATGTCCACAGTGATCTTACCTGGGGATACTACTGCTTCAGGGTCATTCATATCAAAGGCTGCCATGTTCCCAATAGCAAACCCATATCCTGAATGGACATCAGGAAGCCCAATAGATCGCTGAAAAAGAATTAGAAAATGAAATACAAGTGTCTTGACCTGCTACCCTGGATGCCCTGATGGACCTGACACTGATTCTCAAACAGGTTGCAGGCTGAAGCTTTCCCTAAATCAAGACTGTGTTTTCACAAAATCTTCTATATGCATGGAAATAGTAAGAACTCCTAATCACAAAGCTAAATACAGTGAGAAAAAAACTTTTTTATAAGATCTGAATGTTAATTAAGGAAATACAAAACAGAAAAGCCTCAAAATAACATGATATAGGAGTAACACATACTAAGTTTAATGTACTATTACATTTTAAAAATAATCTTAAGACACTGACAAACTTTGGTTTGTCAGGTTAAGAAGAGGAAAATAACTGATTTATATAGGTCATTAGTTTAAGTAATCACAGCCAAATGTAATCCATTTGATGGTATAAATACTGTAGACTTCCTACATGTGGAGCCTAGAAAAGGACCCTGACCCAGGAAGAATGCAGGTCAAACACAGGATATATGGAGATACCCAGACACTAACAACTTCCTTATATACACAAGCCATACCATTTCATTCCCTCTACCAAGTGCCCAACATGGTAACTGGCATAAAGAAGACCTCAAAAATGTCTGCCGAATAGATCCATTTTCAACATCTACCTCTGATAGAATATGAATGTTAAACTGTGGTGGGGGCTATGCTGTCCTCTCTTCCTCCCCCTCAGTGCTAACCCTTAAACTTCTTGCCATTTCTTCTTCAATGATCCTCTGCATAGGAAGTGAAACTTACAACCAAGCGAAACTTACAATGAAACTTACATTGAAACAGTGAAGTGAAACTTACAATGAAACTTACAATGGTGGTGCACTGATCCAGGAATAATGTTACCATGATAAGAAACAAAACACAAAAACTACTTCGAAGGTTCTTAACACTTACAGATTCTAGCCAAATGCATTCAGAAACTGAAATACCATCCAGATTCAATTATTTCTTTAGGTCCATGGTTATTTCCTTTTATTTTTTATTTTTAGGGACAGGGTCTCACTCTGCCATCCACGCTAAAAGTGCAGTGGCGTGATCATGGCTCAGTGCAGTGTGGAACTCTGGGCTCAAGCAATCCTCCCACTTAGCATTCTAAGTAGCTGGGACAACAAGCATGTGACATCACACCTGACTAATTTTTTTGGTATAGACAGGGTCTTGCCATGTTGCCCAGACTAGTCTTGAATTCCTGGGCTCATGCAATCCTTCCATCTTGGTCTCTCAAAGTGTTGCGGGTGGCATGAGCCACTGAGCCTGGCTTCATGGTTATGTCTGGCTGTCCAAAGGTCATTGTCTAAATGACACCACTATCAGGCATGGCCATTCATCCATTCAATGGACTTTAAGAAATATAAATGATTAAAGTTCTGAACTCTGACTCACATGAACAATTCCAGGCAGGGCTGCCACATTGCCAATCTGTTTCATGGCTGGCAGGAAGCCACCAACACCTGAAGACAAAAATTGGGTATTAGAAAAGACAACACACTTGATTTTTAGCATGAATTATATTCATGTTTTTAGACTGTATAACGTGAAGAGGTAGTCATTAGGGCTACTAAGACAACAAAGCCTAGAAGGATGTTTGAGATGCAAGATGGAAGGGAGCTCCTTTTAGAGTCACTGTAAGTATTGCATGAGATAATCTCTGCAAAGCACCTAGTAACATGCCTGGAATATAGTAAGTGCAAAACAAATGGTAGGTCACTTGCTATTATTGTTCAAGGTTAGCTGAGAAACAAGTTCTACCCAGCTTCAAATTCCAGATGGAGCTTCAAATCCGTTCTATAACGCCAACTGGCTGACAATGTGATCACAAATAAGTAAGTGCTTTTGGTCTTACTTTTAAGTTGTAATCACTCCTTGACAATATTTCAGAATTATAATTATTTGAGTTGCCACTTTTTCAGGCCACAGGGAAGGCACTACCGTACTAACACAAGTGAAACTCTAATGTACTTACCACCACCTCGACAGGCATTCCTTAATTCCTCAAACATCAATTTCTCCAGAGCATCATTCACATAGAAAACACCTTCAACCTAGTACCAAGGAAAGTGAAAAGCAATGTCTGAGTACATGCGCGGCAAGTGTAGGCACTGGACAGAATGCACTGTATGCAATATTTACTGTGCTTTACTCTTTACCAAACACTTTCACGTTACCTTAAGCACACAGAAAACTTCCTATCAAAGACTACGAGCTGCTCCCATCGGAAAATATACCTTAAGAAAAATTCTGCAATGTTCACAAATTGTTTTGTTTATTCTCATACCCTCAAAACCACATTTAAGAATTCAACAGATTCAGCATCTTTTTGTGATAAAGAAAAATCTTCCAACTATACTCTCACAAAGCCCAAAGGTCTTAATCCTCAAGCTTCAAAAATATCAATGGTTTTTTGAAAATTAAAAAAAAAAACCAAATGAATCAAAAAGTCCAATTCTAAACATAAAACGTAGTCATCTAACCTAGTATGTTTATTCTGTGTTTAAGCCAATAGCAAATTACATTTTATTGTGCTCTAGTGGTGACTTACAAATCTCTAGTTAGGTAAATAGTGAGAAGAAAAATTTAACATGCAGCTACGTAGTTGTGTGCTCAGTTCTGAAAGCTATATAATTTTTTAAAAAATCTATAATTTTAAAGCTTGACAATAGAGGCAGCACACAGAAGGCAATGGACGACATACTTATGTAACACTAAAGAGCAGAACATTTTTATCACAGGTCAAATATTGTGAAAGAGCTGTCCAGTAATGGAGAACCAAAGATTTAACACTTAATCAATTGAATGTAGTTTTTATCAGAAAGATGACTTCATCACCATTGCATAAATAACAATTTAATACCCACTGATGGAAAATATTTCCAGTATAATTTCTTAAGGGTCACATTTATTAATTCACCAAACATTAACTGAGGATTTACTATGCATGAAGCACTGTCCTGGGCACTAGGGGAGATAGAAAGAATATAAGATCTTCCTTTCAAGGAGCTCCCAGTACACAATACAGCTCTTATATACTTTTGTTTTTTTTTTTTGAGACTGAGTCTTGCTCTGTCACCCAGGCTGGAGTGCAGTGGCATGATCTCGGCTCACTGCAAGCTCTGCCTCCTGGGTTCACGCCATTCTCCTGCCTCAGCCTCCCGAGTAGCTGGGACTACAGGTGCCCGCCACCACGCCCAGCTAATTTTTTGTATTTTTAGTAGAGACGAAGTTTCACGTGTTAGCCAGGATGGTCTCGATCTCCTGACCTCATGATCCGCCCATCTCAGCCTCCCAAAGTGCTGGGATTGCAGGCGTGAGCCACCGCACCCAGCCAGTACAGCCCTTATATTCTGATAAGAATATCAGAGTGCAATGAAGCAAGTGCCATAACATTAAGTACACAGTGCTATGGAAGAATCTGATGAGGAAGTGCCTCAACAGTCTAGGGAGCTGGGAGAGGTTTCACAGAGATCCTGTAGAGCTGGTTCTTTGAAGACAAGAGACATCACTGGCGCAGCAGAACATCTAGGAACTAAACGCAAAAATGACGTAAAGATGGGAAGGGAGTGTTTTAAGGGAATAAAGAGAAATTTTTAGTCCAACATGTGGGTCTTGGGGGAGAAATGGAGATTTAGTAACAGATGATTATCTGTGTGAAATTCACTGCTCTCATATGGAAGCACAATTCACGCTTAGAAGTCAATAGCGTTTTAAGAGCAATGCATTAACATTCCAAGTCTCTATTCCCAAAGGAAAGGTGGTAGTAAAGTGCTGTATACAAACTTAAACCAGAACTGCCTAGCAAAATGAGACTTGCCCCTAGATAGAATGAGCAGCAGTGTGTGCATCAAAGGCTGAGTCAGAACACCTGCCAGACAATGACAGTCTGTGTTATTAGATCCTACAGATAATCATGTCATGGTGTTTTCTTTTTCTTTTCTTTTTTTTTTTTTTTGAGACTCACTCTGTCACCTAGGCTGGAGTGCAGTTTAGAATGATCACGGGTCACTGCAGCCAAGATCTCCCAGGCTCAAGCGATCCCCCTGCCTCAGCCTCCTGAGTAGCTGTGGTGCACACCACCCCGCCTGGCTAATTAAATTTTTTTTGTAGAGACAGGGTCCCACTATATTGCCCAGGCAGGTCTCCAAAGTCCTAGGCACAAAGGATCTTCCCGCCTTGGCCTCCCAAAGCGTTGGGATTACAGGCCATGAACCACTGCGCTCTCCCTATGTTAGATTTTCTATTCCTTCCTTCAGGGTAACGGTTTCCACACAAAGAAAGTGGCCAAACAGCAAACAGAACACAGATTTATCCCCGTGCGCTTTTTCTTCCCTCAGTGTAAGTGACTTGCCAACAAGGGAAACTCAGTAAGCTTTGATTCTGAATAAAAGAATGGAGTGACTATTGGGAGCTGTTTACCAAGACGTGAGACGAGACGGTAAACCTTTGAAGCATTTACTTGGCACCTTCAGGGATTTCAAAAACTATTTAAAAATACGTTGCAAAACTTCATAAACGTTTTCTTTTTTCACATTAATAAAAATATGAGCACAGATGGTGATGAAGGCCGAGAGATACAGAGCCCAGGCTTTCAAACTATCTGATGATCCTGAGCCCTCAAGTCTCCATCTGGGACGTCAAAGAAGTAAACCGGACATCAAGTCCTGGCTGAGCTTCTTCCTAGGTGGGTAGAGGAAGCTATGTCACCGACAGATCCTCGAGGTCCTTCTGTGAAGTGAATATTAAAATCAAACAGGCCCTGCCCTGCGCTACTGCAAGAAATGACATCGCTTTATTAAAAACCAACATGCGATACTGAATGCTGAAAACCTGGTTTAGTGAACAAAGGTTTGTAAACGTTATTTAAATAACCAGCATGACTCAGAGGAGGTGAATTCCAGTCCCAGCAAATGAACCTGGGGCTGGCTGTTCCACCCTGGAAAAGATCACTGAAGTTTCTGTGAACGTAAAACAGCTCACGATACGTTTATGAGACTGATCTGTGAAAACGCTTTGGAAACCCCAATTTCGTATTTATTTAGATTCCCATATCCACCGCACTTAGCTTGTCCTCGTGGTTCGGGGACCTCTCCTGGCGGGAGGTGGTGCCGGAACAGGTTGGGCGGCCCCAGAACCGTGAGGGGAGAAGGACGGGATGAGGGAAACTCTGCAAGGGGCCGGGGCGGACCCAGTGGTCAGGGGAGGTCCAGAGGGCGCAGTGGACGCCGGCCGGGCCGGGGACGGAGCACGGAAGGCCCCGCCATTTGCTCTCCTGCCTTACCTGCATGTTGGGCACGAAGCCCTTCTTGATCCTCCAGCAGTTTTTATTGATCTTCTCCAAGAACTGCAGCTCATCATTATAGCTGCGACTCATGGTGGCGAAAACTGTAGCAAAAACTCCCGGCTCCGCTTTGAAGAGCCGCTGCCGCGTAGTCCGGCTTCTCAGAGCACCGCCTTCCAAGAACCAAAGCGCAGGCGCGACCAGCGCCGCAGCAGATGAGCAACGGCAAGCGCCGAGGCTCAAAATTCTTCAGGCCAATGTCTTTCCTCTGGTTAAGTTGTACTGTCCTGTAGTGTATAACTTTAGGATCTTTATTAGTCGATTTCCTCTAAACTACAGCTAAGCGAAATCCAGAAGTTTAAAGTATAATCTAGTTATCTTTTGTTTTGGAAATGCTTTTCAGCAGCTTATGAAAACACCTTGAGTCTGGGTCAGGTTCGGTGCATTGGCTTGGAGTTTACACCCTCAGCTGGGAGGGGAAAAAGATAACGCCAGCAGCTGAGAAAGAAAAACCTGTTTGAGTAAATACCATAGCTGAACATTTATGTTTCAGAATGAATCTGGATATACACCAAATAACTTTTTTGGTCAGAAAGGAGCATCCCAAAGAATGAAGCATGGCAGCTTATCATTTATTCTGACAAACACTTGTGGGTGCATCTATTGTGGCCAGACATATACTACAAAATGATCAAATCACAGCCCTTATGGATCGCCAAAACTCCCCAGTCTAGCCGCATTTGATGATCAAGACCTCTTTAATCATGCTTTTATACGCCGTGTCTCTTGTTCATAGTGGTAAGTGAGCTTTAAGTGATTTCAGTTTCCAGTTCGGCCTCATGTCAACAACTGCAACTTTGGGATTAGAAAGACGCAAGATTCAATTTCTATCTGTGCCATTTACTGACTTGGTGTGATTAACCCCTCTTATCTCTGTTTCGTCATCTCTAAAATGGGATCATAATTCTTTCTTGAGTAGAAGGCTAAATGAAGTGACACTGGAGGGGTAATCAGCACGGGGCTTGGCACACGGCAAGCACTCTATAAACAGCTCTCCTCTTTCCATTCCCCCACTAGACTGTAAGTGCTGCAAAAAACAGTATGTAGTTTCCATTCATTTGTTGCATTATCTACACTGGTTCCGCTTTTCTTCTCTTCTGCCCCAATTTCTCCCCATTGATTAGGTGCTCTGACACATTAATATCATTCTCAGTTATGAATTGTCTGAGTTTAGTACTCTGCACTGCCATTTCATTGAATCTGTGGTGGGTGAAAAATCCCAAAGCTTGAAGTGATACAACTTTTAGAGTTTCCTGTGGTTACCCTGTTCCTTCTTGGAAAGATTTCAGAGGTAAAGAATTCTCTTTTAAAATCAAGCCTTGATGTCTGTGCAACCTTAGGTCTCTTCCCTTTTCTATGTCTTATTTTATTTTATTATTTTTTTGAGTTGGAGTCTTGCTCTGTCGCCAGGCTGGAGTGCAGTGGTGCCATCTCGGCTCACTGCAACCTCCGCCTCCCAGGTTCAAGCGATTCTCCTGCCTCAGCCTCCCAAGCAGCTGGGACTACAGGTGCGTGCCACCACTCCCAGTTAATTTTTGTATTTTTAGTAGAGACTGGGTTTCACCATGTTGGCCAGGATAGTCTCGACCTCTTGACCTCATGATCCGCCCACCTTGGCCTCCTAAAGTGCTGGGATTACAGGCATGGCCTACTGTGGCTGGCCTCTTATTTTATTTTTTAAAAATTCAGGGCAGGCCATTTCTCAAATAAAAAAACCAAGATTGAAGTTGATAGAAAACAATTTTAATTAAACACAGAAGATAGTAACAGTGAATATAAAACATGAAAACCAATATGCAGGTAGGGGAAAACCACTAGAGGGCCTAAGGGATTTCCACTGAGAATGACCAATACAAATACAGACTTAGAGTTGCTTACCCACCTGGTCAGAAGTACATGCCTAGCTCTTGTCCTAGAATCTTTCTTGCCCCAAACAAACAAACAAACATAAACACAGACACACGCAGCATGCATACACTCACATTCAGACACCTCTATTTATCCCTTTAACAGAGTCTGCCTTATTCTGGGTTCCTGAAGGCTTAAGAAAGAAAACTTTCTGCCTAAGCAATTCACAAGGGCTTTACAATTCCAGTGTGTACTGTCTTTCCCTTCTGGGTTTACAGTAGTTGTAGGATTAAGGACCATTTACTTCCTGGGGTGAATTGCAAACCGGCAATCAAGGGGCTGACTTCCCCCTCCACTGTCTGCTTATCAGGTTCAGACCTTCCCATACGTGGAAACTTGGCTGCTGCTTTGAGGATGTTTCATACTTCAGGTCGGTGGAAATCAAAAGGAAACCCTGGAAAGGATGTGACAATGAAGATAACGTCAAAACTTGGGCATGTCTGGGTTTGTCTGAGGCGTGAGGAAGAGATGGCTTCTTTTTTTTATTATTTTAATTTTGAGATGGAGTCTCAAAGGCTGTCGCCCAGGCTGGAGTGTGGTGGTGCGATCTTGGCTCACTGCAAGCTCCGTCCCTCGGTTTCAAGTGATTCTCGTGCCTCAGTCTCCCAAGCAGCTGGGACTACAGGTGTGTGCCACCACACCCGGCTAATTTTTGTATTTTTAGTAGAGACAGGGTTTCACCATTTTGGCCAGGCTGGTCTCGAACTCCTGACCACCTCAGCCTCCCAAAGTGCTAGGATTACAAGCATGAGCCACCATGCCCAGCTGAGAGATGGTTTCTTTACCAGGTCCTACAGAGAGTCAGGCCCTCCTCTACCCTGGCCCTACTTTGTGAATGCCCCAGAGAAAGGAAAGGCCATTTTGGAGTACTGTCACCCGATGTGACTTAGCCATTGTAGAAGCAGTGGGGGAGAAGCAGGGAAGTGGGAGAGCATGCACGGTAGTGTAGGGCAGCGGTCCCCAGCCTTTTTGGCATTAGCGACTGGTTTCATGGAAGACAATTTTTCCACTGACTGGGATTGGGGGATGGTTTCGGGATGAAACTGTTCCACCTCAGATCATCAGGCATTAGTTAGATTCTCATAAGGAGCGTGCAACCTAAATCCCTTGCACAGGCAGTTCACAATAGGGTTTGTGCTCCTATGAGAATCTAATGTTGCTGCTGATCTGGTAGGAGGTGGAGCTCAGGCAGTAATGTTCACTCCTCGGCCGCTCACCTCCAGCTGTGCAACCAGGTTCCTAACAGGCCACAGACCGGGACAGGTCCTGGGCCTGGGTGTTGGGGACCCCTGGACTGTACAGGATTGGAGAATTTCTTTAGAAACATATTTCCACCTCCCCAAACAAACAACAATGCCAAAAAGAAAGAAAGAAAAAAAGGTATTCTGAAGTGAATGCATAATGATGAGCCGGAAAACGATTCGATCCCTGAACTCAAAGGTGTGTGCCTTTGGTTCAGGGGAAAGTCTTCTGACTGGGAGAATCAGAAGAGCCAGTCCTGTCCCAGCCATGCTCCTTTCCAGCTGCCTGAGCCACTTCTCTCTGAGTCCTCCTTTCCTCATCTGTAAAATGGGACTAATAATTCCAGCCTTACAGATTGTCTTGTGGAATAAGTAAAATAAAGCGTGCTAAGGGGCATCTTCTTATACTGTGGATTTGGCTGCTAAGTGAAATTGATCTTGGTCTGATTTTTAGACTCAACTCTAAATATTTTCTGTTAATTGTGATTTAAGAACTAAACATGTTTATAAGATTCCCTGGTCTGGGAAAAAGCAAAGCAGGACAAAAACAAACAACAACAACAAAAACAAGCAAAACAGGAGGAGGCTTAGTCTACTATAAAAAGAAATGGGTCAGTTAAGAGGTGAGATTTGCATTCTTACCTCAAGAACTTCAATATCTGAATTGACGAATAAGAATTTGTGTGGATTGGACAGAGGAAATCCTTGCTGCAATTTTGCTAAAATATAGAACAAGACGTAAAACAATTGGGCACAAGCACAGAGGTTTTAGCAAGCTTTTTAGTAAGAGACTGACTGACAGCTTGCTTTTTTTTTTTTTTTTTGAGATGGAGTTTTGCTCTTGTTGCCCAGGCTGGAATGTAATGGTGTGATCTTGGCTCACTGCAACCTCCACCTCCCAGGTACAGGTGATTCTCCTGCCTCAGCCTCCCGAGTAGCTGAGATTACAGATGCCCACCACCATGCCTGGCTAAGTTTTTTTGTATTTTTAGTAGAGACAGGGTTTCACCATGTTGGCCAGGCGTGTCTCGAACTCCTGACCTCAGGTGATTCGCCTGCCTTGGCCTCCCAAAGTGCTGGGATTACAGGCGTGAGCCACTGAGCCCGGCATGGACAGCTTTTTAATAGTTGATCTTTTCATTCTCCCCGGTTCCATGTTTGCATTCTCTCTGATATGTCCCTAGAATTTTCCTGGAAGAATTGCTCATTAATCTGTGATTAATAAAAAATGCACCTACAATTATGTTCATTTGGACAGTAGAGAAATGCTGTCCATTTTTAGCCTACCCGATGTATATTTTGAAAATACATAATTAGTGGGTCTTGAGAACATTTTGGTGTCTAATATACTGGGCCAGACTCCAGATGCTGCAGTTTATGAACAACTGCTGTGCAAGGAGAAGGCCCAGGATTGTCATTCATGAAAACTGTGTCTATCCAGTTAGTGGTCCTGGCATAAGAACCACGGAGATATCCCGTAGGGAAAATAATCTCGTTTCCGGTTGACTGGAAGGAGATTCTTTACTGCCTAAGGAGCATGGTTTCAATCTCCTTAACTCAACCAGAGTTGGCCGATCTTGCTGAGTTTGCAAATAGAATTGCTAACAGGGCTTGGACCTAGAATAACTAAATGTGCCACCACAGCATTGATGGTACAAACTTTGCAAATTCTGACGCTGGCCTGGATTCATGATAACATGATAGAAGTACAAGCTTCAGGGTGGAAAGTCCCAAACAATCCCCAGTGCAGCCGATGCAGATGTTAAATGTTAGCCGATGTTACAGTCACATTGTTTTCCAATAATCCCTTACCATTGGCCAGTGGGAGGACTCCAAAGTGAAGAATGGACGATAGAATATTTTCAAACCTCAAGACCTAAAATAAAAGAGGAAATAGAATCAATTGGCAGATCGGGCTTTTTTTTTTTTTTTTTGCTTTGTTACCCAGGCTGGAGTGCAGTAGTGTGATCATGGCTCTCTCCAGCCTCGAACTCCTGGGCTCAAGCAATCTTCCTGCCTCAGCCTCTCAAGCAGCTGGGACTACAAGTGTGCACCACTACACCTGGCTAAGTTAAAAAAATTTTTTTTAGGGACAGAGTCTCACTATGTTGCCCAGTCTCAAAGTCCTGGGCTCAAGCAAACCTCCAATCTTGACCTTCCAAAGTGCTAGGATTACAGGTGGGAGCCACCACACCTGGCCAATCATGGGTGCTTCGAAAGTACCATGCCTGGTTTGGATGTGTACTTTCCCAGAACTTCTTAGGCTAGAAAGCAATAACTAGGATCTTTTCAGAGGGATAATAGCTTTGTAGAAAATCATATTACAGGGTTTTCTAACTTTTTCCCTCTTGAGGACAGACACTTCTGCTTCCCTCTACACTGGATTTTGGTGATAGCAAATTCAGAGGGACTACATGGTGCCAGCAAATGTGGCAGCTCAGGTATCTACCAAGACAGTCAAGAACAACTATTAGATTTCCCAATTAGCAATCTTCCCTTTACTTACTGGGAATCTCGGCCACAGGAGTTCCCTTGTGTTACATCACGCTCCAAAGCTATTGCCATCCCCAGAACACCCAATTTTTCTTTTTTTTTTATTTAAAAATTTTTTTTTTGAGATGGAGGCTCACTCTGTCGCCCAGGCTGGAGTGCAGTGGGTATGTCTTTATCACCATTGTGAAAATGGACAATGGGAATTCACTTTTGCAGTTGGGACCTCAGAGTTTATGTATGAAACTATTATGCTACACTGCCTCTTGACGTAAAAATGACAATAACTGAAATAATTACCGTAAATATGAAAACACAGAAGTGACAATAACTGAAACAGTTACTGCGAATATGAAAATAGTGGCCACTGTTCATTTAATGCCTTCTATGTGGTCAGTGTGCTAAGTGCATTTCATATATAATCTCAGCTAATCCTTTCAACAACCCCAAGGTTGTAATTTCAGCTCCCAACTACTTGCACTGCCTATCCTGATTTCTTTTTCTCTATAGTATTTCTTTTAGTAAACACTATATTTGTTTGTTTGTTGTATGCTACTCTCAGCCTGTCACACACACATAAGCACAGTCACACACACTCTGGAACAGGGTTTCCCAGGAGTGGCACTCTTGACGTTTTGGGATGGATCATTCTTTGCTGTTGGGAGCTGTCCTGTGCACTGTGAATGTGTAGCAGCATCCCTGGCCTCTACCCACCAAGTGTCATTAGTATGTCTCCTTCCATCTCAGGCTGTGACAACCAAAAATGTCTTCAGACATTGCCAGATGTCCCTAGCTGAGAATCACTAGTTGAGAACCACTGCTTTAGAATGTAAGCGCCTTGAGGGTAGAGATTTTATCTGTTTTGTCTAGAACAGTTCCGGGCTCAATAAGTATTTATCAGTAAATGAATACCGTTAATACTAATAATTAACATTATGTAGTGCTGCCCATGAACTAGGCACTATTCTACCCGGGCATTCTGACACCGAAACCCACTTAACTTCTCTATGATAGTGCCATCCATGAATGTATGAGATAGTGATTTAGCTGATCTTCCTGAAGCTTGAGGGAAGGGGGATTCCAAGTCACATGTTGGGGTATCATCTTCCAATCAGAAAGTCACAAGGCTGGGAACCCCCCTCCCACAAAGGTATCCATACAAGCAGCATTGACCTAATTTTAGGAGATGGGCAGAAAGTGTTCAAAGAGTAAACCTAATCATGGCTTAATAATTTACATATTCCTTTGGGATATGTAACTCTATATGTCTCGTCTATAACTCTAGAGGATTATTTTATTGAGAAAACAGGCATTCCCTGAGAATGCCTGTTTTTCTAGCATTATACAATGTCTCAACAGTCTTTTGAGTTTTTAAAAAAGTATTTCTGCATAAATAAAAGTAAACTGTAGAGTTCCTCTCGTGAATGGTTAATGGGCTCAATTGATGAGTAGCTACATAAAGAATTTCAAAGTTAAGTCCTACAATTATGGAGGAATCAAGGACTCCAAGTCACAGAAAACAATTAATTCGCTATTATATATAGTAGGAGAATCCTCGTTCTTCCAGTGCTTGGTAACCCCAAGAGCTCAGATTCCTACCTCAATGTTGCTGCGATTGGACTCTGGCAAAGCAAGGCGGAATCTAAAAGAAAACAAGAAAAGTTTAAAGGATTTGAAAACAACAGCCTTAGTAGAAAGAAACCAAAAAGTAAAAGGATATTTTCAGTTCAAAAGTCACTATTTAAAAAAAAACACACAAGGCTGGGCATGGTGGCCCACGCCTGTAATCCCAGCATTTTGGGAGGCCAAGGCAGGCAGATAACTTGAGGTCAGGAATTTGAGACCAGCCTGGCCAACATGGTGAAACCCTGACTCTACTAAAAAAATGCAAAAATTAGCCAGGCATGGTGACATGTGCCTGTAGTCCCAGCTACTTGGAAGGCTGAAGCAGGAGAATTGCTTGAACCTGGGAGGTGGAGGCTACAGTGAGCCAAGATCATGCCACTGCACTCCAGCCTGGGTATCAGAGTGAGACCCTGTCAAAAAAAAAAAAAAAAAAAAACAGATAAAAATAAAACACACACACACAAATAAAACTGGGAAGACATCGAGTTCTATTACATCTTCTACCCCTATATTTTGCTGCTTAAGAAGCAGAGCAGGAATAGTTTAGGGCTTGGATTTGTAACCAGGGTGGGTTCCCCAAGGGCGTTTGCTACACGGAACTTAATGTTGGCAACTTGGAATGTAGAACAATCTTAAGAAACAGTTTTGGCCGGGCATGGTGGCTCAAGCCTGTAATCCCAGCACTTTGGGAGGCCGAGGCGGGCGGATCATGAGGTCAGGAGATCGAGACCATCCCGGCTAACACGGTGAAACCCCATCTCTACTAAAAAATACAAAAAATTAGCAGGACATGGTGGTGGGCACCTCTAGTCCCAGCTACTCGGGAGGCTGAGGCAGGAGAATGGTGTGAACCCGGGAGGCACAGCTTGCAGTGAGCAGAGATCGCGCCACTGCACTCCAGCCTGGGTGACAGAGCAAGACTCCGTCTCAAAAAAAAAAAAAAAAAATAGTTTTCAGGTTTCTGGCTCTGAACTCAGCCTCAGCCTTGTAACTTCCCTGAGCCTTTATAATCCCAGTCTACTTGACACTAAATTCTATGACCAGTCTAGGCCACACCCATCAGAAAGCCACATCACTCACACCATTTTTTTAGCTGTTCAATCGTTGCAGATAAGGGAAGCATTAGCTAAGAAAGCTATCTGATGTGAAAGGTACAGTATAATTGTTAGTAACCCCATTTCTGCCTCTTCTTAACTCTGTAGATTTACTTAATCTCTCTGGATCTTAATTTTCTCAACTATGAAATATGAATAAGAATATGTGAAATGACTATAGTTAACAATAATATATTGTGTAGTTTCAAATAGCTAGAGGGAAGATAGAACAGCCTCAACACAAATAAATGACAAATGTTTGAGATAATAGACACGCTAATTGCCTTGATCTGATCACTATACATTGATACACATTGAAACATCACTAGGTACTCCATGAATGTAAAATTACGATATGTCCATTAAACAATACAATTAAAAAAGAACAATACCTGCCTCGCAGGGCTGTAGTGAAAATTGAATGAAATGATGCACATAAAATGCTTAGAACTGTGCCTAGCATATCCTTATCACTCTGAATATGAGCCATTTTTATTAGGAAGAGAAATGCTAACAGTTATAACAGCACATAATGTCCTTGATGTTCTTTTTCAAATATCAACAGAGCACTTGCTGTAGGTCCAAGTAGAAGGGAGTCCTCCTCCCTGACCCCTCTCCCAGCTTGGTAAGGCTGAGTGACAGCGTGTCCTGTTGCTTGATATTTTATGGGAATTTTCATAAGAAAACTCAAGGTCAACGTTGTCTGTTTCCCAATTTTGCCAAGAGCTGATCCATAAGTAGTCCTCCCAATATACACAGTTGATTTTTCTATGCAATAATAATGATACTATGAAGAAATAGTAATGAATAGAGAAGACTCCTTCATTTTGCAGAGGGAGAAACTGAAGGTCAAAGAGGAGAAATATTAACGGCAGATTTGTTACTGGGACTCAGATCTCCTGATGCCCATCCCAGAGCTCTCTTTTTCGTATCTTGCTTTTCCTCTTAGCTTTCTATGGCTCACTTTTGCCCAGGTCTAGAGCCCTACTTCTGCATCAGCCTTCTAACAAATCTCCCTGTTTCCACTATTGACCCTTTCCAATCCATCTTCTACACCATCCCCAGGGGAAGCTACGTTACAGGCATGTCTGATAGAGATACTCTCCTGATCAAAATTCTTGTATTCCTAGGATTGAGTACAGAGGTACTTAATGTTCACTTATTCATTGATTGGGTCATCCAGCAAATATTTATTATGTGTCAGCACTGGGACAGGTGCTAGAGATAGCAGCCTTGTGAGCAAAACTAGACACAACCACTGTTCTCATGTAGCTTACCACCTAGTGGGGTGGCAATCATTAATCAAATCATCCCACTAATTAAGGTTTAATTACAATTGAGATAAATGCTCTTAAGGAAAGAAACAATTTCGTGGAGTCAAAATACAAAGAGGAACTTGATTTCATTTGGTAGATGTAGGAAGGTTTCCAGGGGAGGGCTGCTTGAGCTGAAATATGAAGGATGAATAAGATTCAAAAGGCAGAATGGGGAACGGAGTGGGGAGGGTTCCAGGCAGGGGTTGCAAAAGCCCCACGGAGGGAACTGAGAGCTGGGAGAGCACAGCAGGGCGATGCGAGAGGCAGACAGGATTGACTAGGCTCAGTGCCTCTGGCTGTGTTACGATTTTCATTTTTTATCCTCAGAGCAAGAAATCCAATGAAGGTTTTTTAAGAAAGGAGATGATGTCTGTGTTTTATAAAGATCACTCTGGCTGCAGCATGGAGAAAAGAACAGCAGGCCAACAGGTTACCCAGGTGCTCATTCTGTGCTCAGGAATGTGCGAGGCAATGTGAAGAATTTAACCTCTACCTATAATTATGAGGGATGGAGAGAAGTCGTTTGTAGAAGGTAGAGAACAACACAAAGCAAGGTATACTCAGGTGCTTCTTCATGGGTTTACACACCATACAGACTTGCTGCAGAGACTCTAAAAAGGGTGTGAAGCTGGGCGCGGTGGCTCACACCTGTAATCCCAGCACTTTGGGAGGCTGAGACGGGTGGATCACCTGAAGTCAGGAGTTCGAGACCAGCCTGGCCAACATAGCAAAACCCCATCTCTACTAAAATTACAAAAATTAGCCAGGCATGGTGGCACGTGCCAGTAATCCCCAGCTACTCGGGAGGCAGAGGCAGGAGAATTGCTTAAAACTGGGAGGCAGGGGTTGCAGTGAGCCAAGATCATACCGCTGCATTTCAGTCTGGGCGACAGAGCAAGACTACGTTTTGAAAAAAAAAAGAGAGTGCGAAAAGATGAAGAAACCAGCGTAGGCTAGAGTTGTGTGTGTGTATGTGTGTGTGTGAGCATGCATGTGTATGTGATATGGGGCATATCATGGGGGGAAAACAAGTTTCCCTTTGAGAGAAGACTCTGTACACATCTCTAGCATGTCCTTGGCACCCAGTACTGTTTCTCCCACCAGGCTGTGGACTGGGAAAATAGAAACCATTGTCCTTCTGTGTTAAAAACAGTGCAAAGCACATAATAGGTTCTCAGTAAATTCTTACTGAATGGATGTGTGGATAAATGAGCGGATGAAGGACATGGGTTGGGGAGTGTTTGTTGGAATTGGGGTCACTTTGAAGGTGAGCCAGTCTAAAGCAGAATGTTCATTTTAGTGAGCTTAGGAAGATAAGGTTGGCCGGCTTGAGAAGTAGGACCAGTGGATGAAGAGCTTGAAAACCTCAGACGGTGGATTTAATCCAATGATGAAAAGTTTTAAAGGGAAGAATGTGTTGAACCCATTCCACTATTAAAGGACCCTTTTGATGAGTAAGAGTTATCCAATGTTTGAATTTCATTGTTTCCTGCAGCCTGGAAATTCTGGAAGAAGCTTCCATTTGGGGTTTCCTCCTCTGGCAGGGGCTACCCCACTGTGGCATTCTTCTGCCATGGCTTCAAGAGTAGTTCAGAGGAAGGGTGGAGTTGGGGGGGTCAGCCCAGGTGCCAAGTCTGAGCTCCACTGACTTGTCCATCATTGGGAATTGTTTATATGCCCAAGCTTGAGGAGTAGAGTTAGGTAGTGATTCCATCTGCTTGTAGTCAGCTATATTTGCATTCTCTCGCTATGTTGCTTGGGAGGAGTTGTAGGGTGTGGGTGTGTGTGTGTGTGTGTGTGTGTGTGTGTTGTGGATGTGTGTTGATGGTGGAGTTCAATTTGGAGTGTCCAAAGTCTCAATCAATGCAATGTCAAAAAAAAAACAAAAAAACCTCCTAAGTTATAGATGGCTCAACAGTAACGTACATCTGATTGCCTTGAGCTTTGCATGGGATTAAGAAAAGAGGGTTAGAATTAAGTGATCTGGATGAAGACCAAAAAAGGGAAAGTGTCATTTAACTTGGCCTCTGAAGTAATCTAAAATATGTCTACTATGTGGGCCAAACTGTACTGAGGTTGCCTCCAAAGAGAAGTATGTTTGGAACAACTCTCAATTGTAAATAGAGCAGTGAGTCTGGTTTAAAACTCCACAGCTTTAAAAACCATCCTGACTTGTCATGTCTCTTGGGATCAGTTTCTCCCTGTTATTTGGTCAAAATTTGATCTTAGAATGGGGAAAAAGAATGAAATACTAGTACTACTAGGAACAAATATTTCTGGATCAATGACTATATGCTGACTGTTGTGCTAAGTGATTTACATACATTATCTCATCCACCCATACAACAACCCTATGGAGGGGTGTTCTGTTTTGCTAATGAGGAAACTGATACTTAACGAGGTTAAGTAACTTGCTTAAGGTCACTAGGTAGCAAGTGGCAGAGGTAGAATTCAAATCCAGATATGCCTGACTCCAGAGACTGTGCTCTTAACTAGACATGCTCAAAGAGTTCAAGTGTATTATTAGAATTGCTAGTTTTTTACTTTCTTCACCATTTTCTCCCCTTGATTCCTTGATGCGGTGACAAAAGTGCTGTGTGTTTTTTTCTATTTCAGCACAACCAGTTCCAGTGTTTTCTCTTTCTTTTATCAATGCTGAATATTGAAAAAGGGCATGCTGCCTGTTTCAACTTAGCGTGACTCCATGCTTATGGGTTTCCTCTTCCAGGCAAGGGTATAAAGGTATTTATTTCCTAAATCTTAAGTGTTATTTTCTTTCTTCTTCTTCTTCTTCTTCTTCTTCTCCTCCTCCTCCTCCTCCTCCTCCTCCTCTTCTTCTTCTTCTCTTCTTCTTCTTCTTCTTCTTCTTCTTCTTCTTCTTCTTCTTCTTCTTCCTCTTCTTCTTCCTCTTCTTCTTCCTCTTCTTCTTCCTCTTCTTCTTCCTCTTCTTCTTCCTCTTCTTCTTCTTCTTCTTCTTCTTCTTCTTCTTCCTTTTTTTTTGAGACGGAGTTTTGCTCTTGTCGCCCAGGCTAGAGTGCAGTGGTGTGATCTCGGCTCACTGCAACCTCCGCTTCCTGCATTCAAGCGATTCTCCTGCCTCAGCCTCCAGAGTAGCTGGGATTACAGGCATGCACCACCATGCCCAGCTAATTTTTGTATTATTAGTAGAGATGGAGTTTCACCATGTTGGCCAGGCTGGTCTCGAACTCCTGACCTCAGATGATTCACCTGCCTCGGCCTCCCAAAGTGCTGAGATTATAGGCGTGAGCCACCACGCCTGGCCTTGCCTTATTTTCTAAGTCAAAGCTCTTCACTACATCAAAGGCAGTATACTGTGGTAAGTAAATACTCACTGCTTTGAAAGCGGACTCACCCAGGTTCAAGTTCTGGCTCAGCCATTCAATAGCTCTGTGACCTTCAGTAAGTTATTTAATCTCTACAAACTGTAAAATGGGGATAATAGTACCTACCTCTAGGACCGTTCATTTAATCTACTGACATTTATTGAGCACTGTGCCAGGCCCTGGAGACACAGAGTTGTAAGATTTAAAATGAAATAATAGAGGTGTTGGGCTTGGCACAGGACCTAGTAGATGACAAAGATCCAATAATAAACAATAGCCATGAATTATACAAAAAAGGACTATTTCTTAGCTATCCATGGGCAGGATACAGGGGAGCGAAGTGTATTCTGAATCAGGGGACTCTGGAAATGATCTTGTACGATTGAGCACCTCCTTGTCCTGGCTGAGGCTATCTCTAAATTTGAAATCATAGTCAAAGCCAACAGCTAAGAAATAGTCTTTTTTTGGTACAGTTCATGACTATTCTTTATTATTGGGCCTTTACCGTCTATTAGGTCCCGTGCCAAGCCCGGTGCCTCTGTCATTTCATTTAAACCTTACAACTCCGTGTCTCCAGGGCCTGGAACAGTGCACAATAATGGTCAATAGATTAAATGAATGGTCCTGGAGGTAGGTACTATTATTCCCGTTTTATGCTTTATGGAGATTAAATAACTTACACCCAAGATCACAGAGCTATTGAATGGCAACCACACACTTTACCTGTATTAACTCTCATACTTCTCACAACCTTCTCCTGAAGTAGTCTTTATTACACCATTTTACAGAGGAGGAAATGGAGTCCAAGAGAGGTTAAGAAACTCGCCTGAGATGCCAGAGCTAATTAGTGGCAGCACTGGGATCAGAACCAGACCAGCTAGTCTGACTCCAAAGCCTGTGATCCTACAGTCTGTCTAGACCACCAACACGGGGTTTGTCTCTGATTTCTGTATTTGCTGTCTATGCAGCCAGCCCCGAGCAGCTCCAGGAAGAGGCACATTCAGGCAGGGGATAGTTAGAGAGGCCATGTTGTTCTGGGGAGAGTAATTTGGAGCCCCCGTGTTCCCTGGTTCTTCTCAGGGATGTTCCACTGATCTCCACCCACTTGATCCTTTTCCTGCTGCATCTCTCTGATATCACCCAAGACCAAACCAGCTCATCTTGAAAAGCCTGGGGAGCCCAGGAGTGGAGGAGCCAGCTGGGGCAGCCTGCATGGGAGGCAGGGCTAGGGATCCTACTGCCAGAGCCCAGGGCTGTCATTTCAACACAGCCTTGGCTCCTCTGCAAAGTCTTGCCTCCTGGTTTGGCTGCTTTAAACCTGAGTGAGGCCCAGCCCACCTGCCTTGCCCCCAGCCTGCTCACTGCCTGAGGTTTGCTATAACACCCCATGCAGGAGACACCCTCACTTGTGCTTAGAAGCCCCCTGTGCTTGGTTTAATGCCTTGCCATCTCTATCTTAAAATTCTTGACCAGGCACGGTGGCTCACGCCTGTAATCCCAGCACTTTGGGAGGCCGAGGCGGGTGGATCACCTGAGGTCAGGAGTTCGAGACCAGCCTGGCCAACATGGCGAAACCCCGTCTCTACTAAAAATACAAAAATCAGCCATGTGTGGTGGCACACGCCTGTAATCCCAGCTACCCAGGAGGCTGAGGCAGGAGGATCACTGGAACCCGGGGTGCAGAAGCTCCAGTGAACCAAGATCGTGCCACTGCACTCCAGCCCTGGCAACAGAGCAAGACTCTGTCTGAAAAAAAAAAAAGAAAGAAAGAAAAAAGAAATTCTTAATCCTTTTGAAAAGAGGCTCTGCATTTTCATTTTGCAGTGGGCCCTGCAAATTATGTAGCCAGCCCTGCTCAGACCCAGCTAAGGCATCAGAGCACCAGAAGTCTGCCCAGCGGAGAATTTCCAGGAGACTGCTGGGCAACAGACAACAAGCCAGAGGTCCTAATTTCAGGGTTCATGTTCATGAGGTCAAAGAACTCTGTGGACTGTAGGAAGCCAAGAGAATGAATTCACACATTTCCGGGATGATGTAAATTTATCGGCTTAAAACAGTTTTTTCTATTACTCCCATAAATAAACATAACAGCCATTGAACGTGCTGTTGCTTACTAGTATTATAGAAACATTAGAGATAAGGCTCAGTTTGATTTAAGCAGAAAAGTGAACCTGGTCTCCATGCTTCTTAAAGTCTTTTGCACCTTCTTGCCACAACCCTGAAGTTGAATCATGATTAAATTCTTCCTTGAGATCCTGCCAGTAAACCAGACACCTGCTCAGATGCAAGTGTTGTTTCTACCTTCTCTAGGAACCTTCTGCCTCAGTTAGCAGCCCTGCCCCTGTGCCCCGCCCCGCATCACTCCCCATTTCCAGCCTTTCCTTTCCTCCTGGTTCTTTCCTCTTTGTTTCCCAACAGACTGAGCATCACGGTCCCGATGCTCAGGCAATGCTATCCAGATTCTCTCCTTCCTTCCGCTCGTGGCCGATCTCAGATGCTGCCAATTTCTCACCTTTGGTTCCTTCCCCCCTCACCCTCATGCTCTCTGGCTTTCATCCTCTGTATTAGAACTGCCAAATATCACACCTGTAATCCCAGCACTTTGGGAGGCCAAGGTGGGTTGATCACGAGGTCAAAAGATCAAGACCATCCTGGCCAACATGGTGAAACCCCGTCTCTACTAAAACTACAAAAATTAGCTGGGCGTGGTGGCGTGCGCCTGTAGTCCCACCTGCTCAGGAGGCTGAGGCAGGAGAATCACTTGAACCTGGGAGGCAGAGGTTGCAGTAAGCCCAGATCGTGCCACTGCACTCCAGCCTGGGTGACAGAGCGAGATTCTGTCTCAAAACAAAACAGAACAAAACAAAACAAAAAAGAACTGCCAGATAAAGATCACTCTTCATGGTTCAGAGTTTCATCAGCCTGATTCCCTGGAAATGGGGTCACCTCATGACTTCTGGAGGCCTGAGGCACTTTTGTCTTTGGGGACCTTTCTTCTGTTAAAAAAAATGAAAATTATATTTTATAACTATTTGATATAAAGATAAGTATGATCAAGTCTAAATTGTATTCATTTTTAAAAATTATTATTTTAAAATACATTAAAACGTGTGTGTGTGTGTGTGTGCGCGCGCGTGTGTGTGTGTGTGTGTGCTTTTGGACAGGGTCTTGCTCTGTCGCCCAGATTGAGATCATAGCTCACTGCAGCCTCGACTTCTTGGGCTCAGGCAATCCATTCACCTTGGCCTCCCAAAGTGCTGGGATTACAGGTGTGTGCCACCCTGCCCGGCCTCTCATGGGCTTTTAAAGTATTGTGGCTCTAGGCACTGTGCCTATTGTGCCTAAAGGAAGCTAATGAAGAAGTCAGGACTGCTTTGAAGGGCTTGGTAAATGCGAGTAAACCTTCGTAAAACCTTTTCTTTCTGGGAAACCATACTACTTTAAACAAACAAACAAACAAACAAAACATTGTATTTCTGGGCATGGTGGCTCACGCCTGTAATCCCAGCACTTTGGGAGGCCGAGGCCCCAGATCGCCTGAGGTCAGGAGTTTGAGACCAGCCTGGCCAACATGGTGAAACCCCATCTCTACTAAAAAATACAAAAATTAGCCAGGTGTGGTGGCAGGCGCCTGTAATCCCAGCTACTTGGCGGGCTGAGGCAGGAGAATCACTTGAACCCGGGAGGCGGAGGTTGTAGTGAGCCGAGATCGCACCCCTGCACTCCAGCCTGGGTGACAGAGTAACACTCCATCTCAAAAAAAAACAAAATTATATTCCCTTTGTTGGAAAAACAATATACTTACAAAGAAAATTTTAATGAAAAAAGAACCCTCTCATAATCCCATATCCTAATACAACTCTTCATTTTCAGTTTTGTGATTCACTTCCTTGTCCAGATGCAAAGCTATTTTCCTCTTCCGGATGCAAAGCTATTTTCCTCTTCCAGATGCAAAGCTATTTTATACAATTAACAGCTGTTGTGTTTGTGCAGTTTTGTATTCTGTTTTTTCCATTTAACATAATTTTCTTGAAAACATTTTCCATGTTTCTTTTCTTTTTTTCTTTTTCTTTTTTTTTTCTGAGATGGAGTCTCGCTCTGTCCCCCAGGCTGGAGTGCAGTGGCGCCATCTCGGCTCACTGCAAGCTCGGCCTCCCGAGTTCACGCCATTGTCTTGCCTCAGCCTCCCAAGCAGCTGGAGCTACAGGCGCCCGCCACCACGCCCAGCTAATTTTTTGCATTTTCAGTAGAGACGGGGTTTCACCATGTTAGCCAGGATGGTCTCGATCTCCTGACCTCATGATCCGCTCGCCTCAGCCTCCCAAAGTGCTGGGATTACAGGCGTGAGCCATGGCAACTGGCCTTTGTTTTTTTTTTTTTTTTTTTTTTTTTTTCATGAAGTCCCGCTCTGTTGCCCAGGCTGGAGTGCAGTGGCGCAATCTCTGCTCACCACAACCTCCACCTCCCGGCTTCAAGCAATTCTTCTGTCTCAGGCTCCCGAGTAGCTGGGATTACAGGCACATGCTACCATGCCCGGCTAATTTTTGTATTTTTAGTAGAGATGGGGTTTCACTATGTTGGCCAGGCTGGTCTCGAACTCCTGACCTCATCATCTACTTGTCTCGTCCTCCCAAAGTGCTGGGATTACAGGTGTGAGCGACCGCGCCTGGCCATTTTCCATGTTTCCACAATAGACTTCATAACTACCACGTTGACTTGTGATTGATTTACTCCCCCTCTGCTGGTTTCTCAGATCTTTTCTGACTCTGCTTACGTCTGTTTCATTGCTTCCTTTTCTTCCATACATTTAGTCTATGCCGTCTAATCTTTCTGTAAATTCTCCCCCCAGGTAGTCTGATGGATGACTTCAACTACCAGCTTTATAGGGCTGAGGAAAATGGGCTTTGCAGACGGTTCTGCCGAATGGCACTTAGTGGTCAATGATCTGCGTCTGTGGCCTGCACATGGCCTTTCACCGTGTGTCACATGCATTTGACAGTCAGACAGGCCATGGGGAAGATCTTGTTAACTTCTCTGTTCTAGTAATGGGATCAGATGGTCAGAGTCTGAAGGTACCTTAGGCATGATCCAGTTCAACTTCCTTATTTGCAGATAAGGAAACTGAGGCTCAAGGAGGTTAACAGACTGGATCACAGTCATAGAGCCTGTGAATAAGGACTGGAAACTTGGTTCCTTAACTCCCAAAGCTTTATGCTCTTTCCTCACTAGCATGCTCTATGAATTTGATAAAGAAGAACTGAAGTTTATATTGCTGTACCATTAGAATGTACACTTCTATTACAGAATTATATATATATTCTTTGTATGTTTATATAAAATAAATAAAAATAAAATATAGGAAATAAATATAATATATAAAACATAATATATTTTATAAAATGTTTTATATAAATATAAAAATATATTTATTACATATGTAATATTTTATGTATTTAATTTGTATATGTATATAAAATATATAATATAAAATATGTGAGAGAGATATATTTTTTTGAGAGACAAGGTCTCATTCTATTGCTCAGGTTGGAGTGCAGTGGCACGATCATAGCTCACTGTAATCTCAAACTCCTGGGCTCAAGCAATTCTTCCCTCTCAGCTTCCTGAGTAGTTGGGATTACAGCGGTGCACACCACGCCTAGCTAATTTTTAAAAAAGCTTTTGTAGAGATGAGGTCTCACTTTGTTGCCCAGGCTGGGCTCAAACTCCTGGCCTCAAGCAATCCTCCCACTCCCAAATTGCTGGGATTACAGGTGAGAGCCTGTAAGATGGCACCTGACCATATTACAAAATTATATTTATAATTATTTTGTTCCCTATTTTATTTTTATGTTACTATAATGGAAAAAAGAAAAGCTTGACAGTACCATTTTTAGTAAAGTACATACTTTAAAGTTATCTGGCCCATTACAGGAGAGGTGCTTAACTGACTCATGTTCACACAATGGTTAACGTCCCTTTTTTTTTTTTTTTGAGACAGAGTCTCACTGTCACCCAGGCTGGAGTGCAGTGGTGTGATCTTGGCTTACTGCAACCTCTGCCTCCCGGGTTCAAGCGATTCTCCTGCCTCAGCCTCCTGAGTAGCTGAGATTACAGATCACTTGTTTTCTTAATGGTCACTTTGTCTCTGATCAGTTGACTCACTTATTACTAAGGTGCCCCAACAGTCAAATTGATTGATCTTACCTGTTCAGAGACAAGGAGCAGACCAGTCTTTGTCCCAAAATAACCAGGCCAACACTGGTACTAGCAACCTATAGACAATAAAAGCATTTATTATTAAGACGAGTGAGTGTCAATTTTGGCCATCAGTATAATTTCCAATAGTTGAAACATTATAAGCCCAACATTCCCCCTTAGTGTAAAGACATTGGAAGTCTAAAAGACATTGGAAATACAGACCTCTGAAAATCCTGTCTTGTAGTTAGGGAAGCTACCTGCAAAGACTTTTTGTTTGATGATCTCCTTTGAATTTTTTTTTTCTCCTAATCGCTCTTCTTTATGTATGTGTGTGTATGTGCCTATGTGCGTATGACATTTTTGTTAGGTTTATTATGTCCTTCTATCAGATTGCATTTGGCCTTCATTTGCTCAAGTAAAAATGAATTCTACCTTGATTGACTTATTTAGATTAAAAAAAAAGAGAGAATTCCAGCTGTCCATGTAACTGAGGTAGGTGGTGGGAAGAGCGTGCATGAAGTAGAGACTGGAGAGATTTTACAATGTATGAGAGTGTGAGTGCTTACCTCCCATCCTGCCACACATACCCTTCCCTCAACTCTGACCTCACTGAGACAGGGTCTTACCCTGTTGCCCAGACTGGAGTGCAGTGGTGCAATCATAGCTCACTGTAGCCTCAAACTCCTGGGTTCAGAGCAACACTTCCACCTCAGCCTCCTGAGTAGCTAGGATGACAGGTGCACAACACCACCACACCTGGCTAATTCAAACAATTTTTTTTTTTTTGGAGAGATGAGGTCTTGCTATGTTACCCAGGCTGGTCTCTAACTCCTGGCCTCAAGCAATCTTCCTGCTTCAGCCTCCCAAGACACTGGAATTATAGGCATGAGCCATCACGTCCAGCCTCCATCCTCACTCTTAATCAATGTAGCATCCCCACCCTCTTCAAACGTTTAAAAGCTGCTGGCCAACAGTCCACAGCAGGAGCAGGATTGGCATCTACAGGCTGCTCCACTGTCTCCCCAGACTTACGAAGTCCATGGAAACGATGGTTTCAACTGTGGAGTTCTTGGGTTGGGTGAGCATCATGATGGAGGCAGGGATGTCCAGGGTGAAATTGCCTGGTTGTAGATTGATTATGGGAGGCTCTGTGGCCATGATCCTCACCATGAAGGGCTGGGACAAGATGTAGATCTCTGCAATCTGCCCACATTCCGAGAAAGAAATAAAGATTGTGAGGCGTGAGTTGGTGAAGGGAGATCACAAGGTTAGGATGGCCTGTGGTGACTAAATCTTACATTGTGCAGTTAGAATAGAAAAAAAGCTCTTTAATAATCATAATTACACACAAAAATCAAACGATGATAACAGTTGGCAGTTACTGAACATAATACTTGATACTACCCACTGTGCCAGGGGCTTTATATATTATCACATTTAATCTTCAGAAAATCCCTGTGAGGCAGATTCTATCAGCATCCCTGTTTCATAGTGGAGAACGTGAGTCTTACAGAGGTTAAATGATGTTCTCAAGGTTCTAGGGGAATAAGTGGTAGAATTGGGATTCAAATCTAGGTCTGGGCTGGGCACAGTGGCTCATGCCTGTAATCCTAGCACGTTGGGAGGCTGAGATCGGTGGATCACTTGAAGCCAGGAGTTTGAAACCAGCCAGGGCAACATGGAGAAATCCTGCCTCTACAAAAAATAGAAAAATTAGCTGGGCATAGTGGCTTGTGCCTGTAGTCCCAGCTACTTGGGAGGCTGAGTTGGGAGGATCACTTGAGCAGGGGAGGCGGATATTGCAGTGAGCCAAGATCGTGCCACTGCACTCCAGCCTGGATGACAGAGCGAGACCCTGTCTCAAAAAACAAACAAACAAAAACAAATCTAGGTCTATCTGACTCAAGATCCTTGCTCTAGAACCAGGATGCTACATGAACATCTCTTTGTCCTCAAGGGCAATCCCTAGCCCGTAGGTTCATTATGTTCAATACTTAGTGTGCTACGAAGGCACAATATTAACAGTTGCTTTTTACTACAGTTACAAGTGTGGGCACTAATCCTTCATTTAAGAATTGAATCCTTCATTTCCACTAATAAATCCTTTATTTAAACTAATTATTTCAAGTATGATGGAATATTGTGGAAGGCACGGTGATTTATTTTGTGAACTTACAATTATACTCTCACTTGTATGTTAATTGCACTTTAAACTGTACTGTTCAGTAAATATTTGTAGATATTCGATTACGAGAAAAAACTCCCAATAATAGACAGAGGGACTTATCCAAAAAGGAATACGTAGAACCCACAAGTCTTCCAGAAGTAATTGCAATGGAGCCAAATACACTATCAAGACTCAAACCCTGAGCACTTACCCGGGAGAGCACGTTGCCAAGGCCTTGAGAGTTTTGAACAAAATGGTTGGAAATCTGGAAAATAAAGCCCATTATGTCACTGTTAGGATTTTACGTGGATTGTCTTTTCAGGGAAAATGTAGTGTTCCCTATAATTTGACGAATTGTGAAGCTGTTACACCATAAAATATTCAGTGTTTAAAGGTGACCTATCATTTTATAGCCCAATCATAGGGAATCCGAGGCTCAGAGAAGTAAAGTGACTTGCCCAAGGTCACACAGGATGTTATATTTCTTTTAACTCTGGGAACAATACAGTCTATTGTTAATAACTGTAGAATGTTTACACATGAATTGTACGTATGTAGTACAACAAAGTTTTAGTTATATATATATATATCTATATGTACATATTCTTTATTTTTATATATTACAACCTATCTATGTGTACATATTCTTTATATATATATTACAATCTATCTATGTGTACATATTCTTTATTTATGTATATTACAATCTAATGTGTACATATTCTTTATTTATATATATTACAATCTATGTGTACATATTCTTCATTTATATATTACACTCTATATGTACATAGTCTTTATATATATATTACACTCTGTGTACATATTCTTCATTTATATATATTACAATCTATGTGTACATATTCTTTATTTATATATATTACAATCTATGTGTACATATTCTTTATATATATTACAATCTATGTATACATATTATTTATATATATTACATCTATGTGTACATATTCTTCATTTATATATATTACAATCTATATGTACATAGTCTTTATTTATATATATATTACAATCTATGTGTACATATTCTTCACTTATATATATTACAATCTATCTATGTATACATATTCTACAGTCATTAACGATAAGCCTTGTGTTACTGTCCTCACTTTTAGGGATTACTGAGATACTGGATGCTTAAGGAATTTACCTTCAGAGATAAATGATTTTGAAGTCTGCAGCTAGAAGTGTCTAATTCTCAGTATCGTAAGATAGCCACTGCTGCCATACTTACCATTCTGAACATAAGCTTTATACCTACTTATATAATTAAAACATATAGAATGAGGAGATTCAAAAAGAGATGCTCAATAAAAGTTTTTGGTTGACTGGCTAGAGACAGTGCTGTCATTATAAAAGGGAGGTGCATGACAGAGGATCAATGAATATCTGTATTATTACTGATCATTGTAGATAAACCAGCTGTAATTACAACCAGGATAACTTTACGTCAGCATAATACAGGGAATAATGATGACAATGATGATAAGCAACAGTTATATCGCACTTATTCTGTGTTGGGGATTGGTCTGAATGCTTGACATGTATTTAAATCTTTTAATGCCCATATAAACTCTATGAGTAAGGAACTATTATTATCTGCCTTTTCCAGATGAAGAAATTCTGGCCCACAGAAGTTATATAAATTGAAATTACCTCTAAGGTCACAGGCAATACATGATGGAAAGGGATCTTGCTATTATTGGAGATTAATCTAGAACAGTGGTGAGTGGTGAGGTATTAGCAGAACTGGAAACTTGACAACTCCCCAACTAATACAGGTTGAACATTCCTAATCTGAATATCCAAAATTCAAAGTGCCCCAAAATCCAACTATTAAATGCTGACATGATACACAACGGAAATGCTTATTGGAGCATTTTAGATTTTGGATTTTCAGATTAGGGCTGCTCAACCGGTAAGTATATATAATGCAAATATCCCAAAATCTGACAAAATCCGAAATCCAGAACACTTCTGGTCCCAAGCATTTTGGATAAGGGATGCTCAACCCGTAACAATGTTCACTCCACAATTCCCTCATTCCTTCACTGTCTTGCTGGGAGTGATAGCCTAAAAAGGTCCCAGAATCGAAATTGTGGCATAAAAGTTCTACAATAGGATACTTATAAAAAGGCTGAATGATGGTGACCATTGACATCCTCAGTTAACTCTCCTCACCTCTTCGGTGGAGAGAGTGACATTGAAAACCCCAGCTGTGAAATGAGCAAAGGACGCAGATTTAAAGAAATACTCGGCGATTCCAATGTAGAGCATGGAGTTGCTGCGTTCTGGGAGCACAAAAGGAACTGGTGAGAAGGGGGGGTCGGTGAGGTTTTCCAGTGGGTAGAATACACCCTGTGGGAAAAGAGAGAGAAAGACCAGTGTATCAGGTGAAAACTCAAATTCTAAGAAGACTAAGAAGATGGACCCTCTGAAGTCAGAATAAGAATTCCAGAAGCTCGGGCCAGGTGTGGTGGCTCACGCCTATAATCCCAACACTTTGGGAGGCTGAGGCGGGTGAATCACTGGAACACTGGAGTTTGAATTGATTGAATGACTGTTTTTCCATGATCAACCTGGGCAACATGGCAGGCCCCGTTTCTATAAAAAATACAAAAATTAGCCAGGTGTGGTGGCGCGTACCTGTAGTTCCGGCTACTTGGGAGGCTGAGTGAGGTGAATCCCTTGAACCAGGGAGGTTGAAGCTGCAGTGAATTGTGACTGTGCCACTGCACTTCAGCCTCCAGCCTGGGTGACAGAGGGGGACCTTGTCCAAAAGAAGAAGAGGAAGAGGAAGAAGAAGAAGAAGAAAGAAGAGGAAGAGGAGGAGGAGGAGGAGGAGGAGGAGGAGGAAGAGGAGGAGGAGGAAGAGGAGGAGGAGGAGGGAAAAGAAGGAGAAGGAGAAGGAGAAGGAGAAGAAGAAGCATAAGAAGAAGAAGAAAAAGAAGAGGAAGAAGAAGAAGAAGAAGAATCCTAGAAACTCAGTAATGATGAAAAACTGTTAAGGCTTTCTGACTCCTTGACCAGTGACTATTTTTCAAAGCTCTTAGGATTCTTGAGCATATTTAGGTGTGTCTGTTTCACCCCAGGGTGTAACCCAATGAGAACCCTTGTTTGAACTTTTCTAAGACAAAGAAGGAGGTGTATTTAGCTGGAAGGACAACTCTGAGTAAAAGCACTTCCTGAGGTGCCATGTAGTGGTGTCAAACACTTGACCTTCAAAATCTGTGTCTGCTGAGTACCTGGGGAATCATAGAAAGAAGACCCAAGACTCCAAATGGTTTAAGGCATTTTTGTAGCATTTCTAGCACTGCTCTCATTAGCTATAGGGCGTTATTACAAAATATTGTCTTGTCCAACACTGAACTGAGTTGAAAGACTCTGGTGAGTGAAATATGAGCCAATATGCATTTTAAAAGACAATGATATTAGCTTTGGGGCAAAATGAAACATAACCACAATGATTGTTTTTCCATGATCAGTGAACACTAATGCCACGTGCTTATGGCCCTGACAGAGGTCAGCAGCCCTCAGTTAAATCCACTAACCTGAACACTTAGGAATGGAAGTGCCAACGTGTACCAGCTACTGATGTGTTTAGTTCCAATAAATGCAGACTGCTCTACTTGCTGCCTCCTAGCCTCAAACCTACTCCTAGGGGCAAAGACATATGATCCTTCTCCTGAAGAGGGCAGACATATGTTGTACAATACAATCATTTGCTTATCAATAAAACGTTCAAGAGTCTTTTGAAAAGGTGTAAACATGAGGCAGTTGCTTGAAAGAAAATTAAATTATTCCAAGAGCATGTATATAGATTTCCTTCTGTACAGAATCATTGTTTTTTGTTTTTGTTTTTGTTTTCATTTTGTTTTGTTTTTTTGAGATAGAGTCTTGCTCTGTCACCCAGGCTGGAATGCAGTGGTATGATCTCGGCTCACTGCAACCTCTGCCTTCCAGGTTCAAGCAATTCTCCTGCCTCAGCTTCCCAAACAGCTGGGAATGCAGCTGTGTGCCACCACACTGGCTAATTTTTTGTGTTTTTAGTAGAGACGGGGTTTCACCATGTTGGCCAGCCTGGTCTCAAACTCCTGGCCTCAAGTGATCCACCTGCCTGGGCCTCCCAAAGTGCTGGGATTACAGGTGTGAGGCACCGTGCCCAGTCCATAATCATTGTTTTCTAAATATTGGCTGTTGACAGCCAGGCTGAGGATTCTGATGATGATAAAGTTACCTTCAAGTTCAGGTCAAGGTAGTTCTCAGTAATTTCTGGAGAACTGATTAGGGAGTAATCCAGCAGAGTGTAGTTGTCAATCTTGGTTAAAACTAAATAACCAACAAAGAAAAAAGAAAATCCATATTCATTAAAGGCATAGTATAATATATGAATGATGTCTATCTAGAACAATATAATTTTAAATTCTCTGTTTAAAAGATCAATTCCTGCTTTTCAGAAGTAATACATGTTATCTTTTGAAAACCCAGGAAAAGTAGATAAATCAAAAGAAGAAAGTGAACATTTTTTCCAAGTGTATTACTCTGAGAGAAGCATCACTAAAATTTTGGTGTGCAGTGGTCCCCCTTATCTGCAGGGCATATGTTCCAAGACCCCAGTGGATGCCTGAAAGTGTGGACAGTACCAACCCCTACATACACTGTAATAAAAGGAATGTGAATGTGAATGTGAATGTGGTCTCTCTCTCTCTCTCTCAAATTCACATTGAGATATTAAATATTTTTAAACCACGGTTGACCACGGATAACTGAAACTGCAGAAGGCAAAACTGCAGATAAGGGAGGACTACTGTATATCTTTTTAGGTATACACACATACAAACACACAAAATGCATGTATAGTTTTGTTTTTTGTTTTTTGTTTTTTTTGAGACAAAGTCTCACTCTATCACCCTGACTGGAGTGCAGTGGTACAATCTCAGCTCACTGCAACCTCTGCCTCCTGGGTTCAAGCAATTTTCATGCCTCAGCCTTCCTAGTAGCTGAGATTACAGGCACCCACCACCACACATGGCTAATTTTTGTATTTTTAGTAGAGACAGCGTTTCACCATGTTGGCCAGGCTGGCTTCGAACTCCTGACCTCAAGTCATCCACCCACCTTGGCCTCCCAAAGTACGGGGATTACAGGAGTGAGCCACCACACCCAGCCCTATATAGTTATTTTTTAAAAAGGAAATTAGTACAAACACAAAACTCATATCAATATTTAGAGATATGTATTGGCTTGGTATAATGAAAGACTCTTCAGTTTGATGTTATAAATTGCAGTTAGAACTTTTTTTTTTTTAACAAGGAGTATGCTTTACTGTTGTCATTAGAAATATTTTTAGAAACAGATTGTGTGAGAGAAAATAAAGTCCACTAAATTGGAGAGGCCAAGGAGATTCTTAGGCACAGTGCTGCTAATCCAAATAATTTTATGTATTATCATTTTCAGAATAAAGCAGAAGTCAAGGGGACCAGGGTGCAGTGGTGGGTGAAGTTCCAGAAAGCACAGATTGGGCTGGGTGTGGTGGGTCACGCCTGTAATCCCAGCACTTTGGGAGGCTGAGGTGGGCGGATCACCTGAGGTCAGGAGTTTGAGACCAGCCTGACCAACACGGAGAAACCCCATCTCTACTAAAAATACAAAATTAGCAAGGTGTGGTGGCACGCGCCTGTAATCCCAGCTACTTGGGAGGCTGAGGCAGGAGAATCTCTTGAACCCAGGAGGCGCAGGTTGCGGTGAGCCAAGATTGTGCCATTGCACTCCAGCCTGGGTAACAAGAGCGAAACTCCGTCTAAAAAAAAAAAAATAAATGAAAGCACAGATTTTAGTCTCTGAAGCTAGTTGTATGTGCAGTGACTCAGGGCTCAGGTTTCCCACTCGGCTTTGGAGAGCTGCTTTCCTGACCACCATTATGTGTTCTACAATATGAAGACCTACTCCCTGTTCTAGAGAAAGTTACCTGAGCATCATGTCTTCTCTTTTCTTGCATGTCATAGATGGAGATGAAAAGCAAGAAGAGATGAAGTATCTTGCTAAGATAAAGGAATAATATTATCCTAAGCCACCATAGTTTTTATTTTTTATTTTTCACTTTTTTTTTTGAGACAGAGTCTTGCTCTGTCACCCAGGCTGGAGTGCAGTGGCACAATCTTGGCTCATTGCAACCTCTGTCTCTCGGGTTCAAGTGATTCTCCTGACTCAGCCACCCAAGTAGCTGGGATTACAGGCCTGCGCCACCACCTCTGGCTAATTTTTGTATTTTTAGTAGAGACAGCATTTCACCCTGTTGGCCAGGCTGGTCTTGAACTCCTGACCTCAAGCGAGTTGCTCGCCTCAGCTTCCCAAAGTGCTGGGATTACAGGTGTGGGCCACTGTGCCTGGCCATTGCCACAGTTTTTAAAATACTTTCAAGTTGTTACTCTGAGGGACAGCAATCATTTCACAGATGTGGTGAGTGAGGCTCAGAGGTAAAGGAACTTGCTCAAGGAAAGCTAGAACATGGTGATCCTTGGCTACTTCTTTCCTCACTACATCTTGTTTTCCTTCCCTACATCTCCAATCCATTCATTTTCTTTCATCCATCTGCATCCATTTATCAGTCTAATATATATATTTTTTGAGACAAGATCTCACTTTGTCACCTAGACTGGATCTTGGCTCACTGCATGATCTTGGCTCACTGCAGCCTCAACCTCCTGGGCTCAAGTAATCCTCCTACCTCAGCCTCCCTGTAGCTGGGACTAAAGGCGCACGCCACCATGCCTGGCTAATTAAAAAAAAATTTTTTTTATATAGAAACAAGGTCTCACTATGTTGCCTAGGCAGGTCTTGAACTCCTGACCTCAAGCAATCCTCCCACCTTGGCCTCCCAAAGTGCTAGGATTACAGGAGTGAGCCACTGCGCCTGATATTTCTTAATCTAATGGGCTAGGTGCTGTGCCTGACGCTGGGGGCACAGCGGTGAGTCAAAGTTCCTGCACCCAAGGAACTCATAGTCTTGGGGAGTAGACAGATATATCAACAGGAAATTATAATACAACACAGCAAAGGCTGATCTAAACTGGGCTCCTGATGATCCTGCTACAAACTTGTTCTTAGGTTCTTTCCCATCTCAATAAATGCTAAATCCCTTCTTCCAATTTTCCAATTGCTTAGGGTTTTACCCACCAAAGTCACCCTTCACTCTTCTCCTGACCTACATTTGATCTGTTGCACAAAAACCACTGTCTTGACCTTCAAGGTACATCCAGAATCCCAACATGCCTTACCATCTTCATCACCCCACCCTAGGCCGGCCACCATCATTAATTGTATGGGTCACTGCACTCATCTCTTAAGTAGTCTCTTTGCTTTTGCCCTTGACCCCCTTCCTTCCTGTCTATTTTTTTTAGCACAGAAGCCAGACCGATCTCCTTAAACTGTAAGTTAAGTCATGCCGGCCTTACTCTTCAAAGGCATCCCATCTTAGATTAAGAGGTGGACTTTGCAGTCCCTACACATCCCTGAAGATCAAACCATCCCCTCTTCCCCATCTCTGGCCTCATTGCCTGCTCTCCCCCAACCCCCTGCTCCTAGTGTGTCCTTCTCACAGCCTCCCCAGCACACTTGAGATATTCAGCCTCAGGGTTTTTGTGCCTGCAGTTTCCTCGATCTGGAATCTTCATCTAGATTGAGCAGCAGCTCACTTTCTACTCCCTTTGGGTTTTTCTAGTAATGCCACCTGCTCAGTGGTGGCTTTCCTGGTCACTCTATCTAGAATGGAAATTCCTCTCCACCTCCTCCACTGCTTTATTTTTCTTCTTACCACTTATCACTGCCATAACTTAGATTTTACTTGTTTATCTTGCTTGCTGTCTGTCTCCTCCCACTACTCCCATGACGGCAGGTATGTCTGTTGCCTGGGAATACTGCTGCATCCCCAGCACCAAGAACAGTGCTCAGGCTATTTCAGGTGCTCAGCGCGCCATTGGTGAATGAATGGATGGAGTGCAAAGTGAGAGAGAGATGTCCAAAGTGTCATGTGAGCACAGAGGAGGCATAACTTTACGGAGTGGGGGCTGTCAGGTAAGGTTTCCTGGAAGAGGCTATGTCTGAGCTGGGTCTTAAATATAAAGAGGAGGGAACACAACATATAAAGAGAGATAGAGAACGGAAAGGATTAAATCCTCCAGGGTTTAGCACAGTGCTGGCTAAACTCTGCAGGTTTAGAAATGGGCACTCAATATGTATCTGTTAAAGCAGCGGTCCTCAACCTTTTTAGCACCAGGGACCAGTTTAATGGAAGATGATTTTTCCATGGCCTGGGGTTGGGGGGGATGGTTTCGGGATGAAACTGTTTCACCTCAGATCATCAGGCATTAGATTCCCATAAGGCACATGCAACCTAGATCCCTCGCATGCACGGTTCACAATAGGGTTCGCACTCCTATGAGAATCTAATGCTGCCACTGATCTGACAGGAGGCAGAGCTCAGGCAGTAATGCTCAGTCGCCTGCCCACTGTTCACCTCCGGCTGTGCAGTCCAGTTTCTAACCTGTCTGTGGCCCAGGGACTGGGGACTCCTGGGTTAAAGGAATGAAAGGATGGAGGAGAGAGGAAGCTCTTCCAGGCAGAGAAAACAGCAAAAGCAAAGGCAAGGGGTGAGGAGGGCAGTGGAAACAGTTTGATTGCTGGGGCAGAGAAAGGTAAAGAGAAAGATGAAGCAGAGAGAGGTAAGTAGGAGATGGGGTGTGGTGAATCTTGTAGTCCATGCTAAGGTGCGAGGACTTGATGCTCAGGGCAGCCACTGCAGGCTGAGAACCCCAGAATAACCTGGTCAAGATCAGTGTTAATCCCTCTGAAGAGAAGGGATGTAATGTCACTGCTTGGGTTCGTGCTCGTGAGGGTTTAGTTCCTGAACCTACATCTCATCCCCCTGGAGCCACCCCTCTTGTGGCAGTGAAGTTAGTTATTAGCCAAAGAGTACATATGCCCTAAGCACAAGGCACATCCTCCCAAGCACCTTCCCGGGGCTCTAATTTGCAGAATATGAAGCAGGATGGATAGCTCAAGCTATACCGCCTTGAAAAGCAAACCCAGGCAGTACCAGCTTTTGAAGGTAGGAAGACAACCATCTGGAAAAGACAGTTCTAAGACTCACCCTCCAGTGTGCTGAGGTTGGCATTTAGCGCTTTGACTTCACTTGCAATAATGGGACAGAGCTGGCCACAAAGGAATAAAAAGAAAAAAGCAAGTTACCATGTTGTACTGGAAAGCCTTATTGATGGGCCTAGACCCTGCAAACAAAGGCCTTCTGGTTAGCAGTCATTATCCCTTTGGTCATCGAGACATTCTCTTAAATTTGTTGATGTCTATGGGCCTCGCTTTACGTAGATACGGGTGGTATGTCACTGAATGCCAGCTGAACTTTGTAGCAACTAGCACTACATCCAATCAGCCCTGTAAAGAGTGAGTGAGCCCTTGTCGTTTCTTTCTGTGACATGATAGGGCATGCGTCCCAGTCCATGCTGTTATACCCGAGGAACCTGCTGCTGGAGCTGCTGTATCTTTCCTGACTGCTGGGGGTGCCGCCAGCTTGCCATCTCCTCTAGGAGCGGTTGCATGCCCTACCTGGAATGGTTAGAGCTGGAGCTTTTTTTTTTTTTTTTTTTGAGACGAAGTCTCGCTCTGTCACCCAGGCTGGAGTGCAGTGGCGCGATCTCGGCTCACTGCAAGCTCCGCCTCCCTGGTTCATGCCATTCTCCTGCCTCAGCCTCCTGCGTAGCTGGGACTACAGGCGCTCGCCACTATGCCCGGCTAATTTTTTGTATTTTTAGTAGAGACGGGGTTTCACCGTGTTAGCCAGGATGGTCTCGATCTCCTGACCTCGTGATTCACCCGCCTCGGCCTCCCAAAGTGCTGGGATTACAGGCGTGAGCCACCGCGCCCGGCCCCAGAGCTAGAGCTTTTACTTTCCCCCTGGGCTAGTTGGAGAGCACATTATATCAGAGATCTACTTAGAGATCTATTTTGTTGCCACCTTTTTGGAATTTGAAAATTAGTCTTGAGTCACATTAATATTTTTAGGAAGGGGCAGAGGTATCAGCACTGATGTGCCTCTTGTGTGCTCATTGATGTGCTTGGCATAGTGGGTACAGCACAGGCTTGGCTGCCTGGGGCCGAGGGTTGAATCCCTTGGCAAGTTACTTGTATTCTTTGATCTCAGTTTCCACATCTGCAACATTTGCATGGGGATGATAATTGTGTCCACCTCATCACATTGTGAGTAGAAATGGAAGTAATCCATGTAAACTTGCCCAGCTTATAGTAAGCATTGAGTAAGTGTTAGCCGTTGTTAGTTTAACTCCATTTCACCTTCACTACAGCCTTGAGAGGGAGGCATGACGGTCCCCTAATTACAGATGGGAAAACCAAAGCTTAGAGAGGTTAAGTGAGTTGCCAGGTGTTGCATAGCCGGGATTTGAACTCAGTTTACACAGCTAGACAGCTGTGGTCTCAGCATTCTTTTCTATCTTCCAGTGGCACAGAGAGAATCACAGAAACATCTATTATCTTTAAGCCATAAATCAATTTCAGGCAAACTTAATTATTGGCTTCTGTGACATAACTCATTCTTCACTGGCCTCCTGTCAGAGGCAAAAGGACCGTGCCTCGTTTCAAACAGGGGAATGATCAAGTTTGGGGTCCTTGAGGATGACAGTGCACTTTGCCAGGGACTCTAATATGCACACTCATTGGCACTCAGCATCTGTCAGGTAAGGATGGAGAAGGACTATAAGGCTTCTGAGTCCTGGACAGCTGCGCCACCTCCTGGGATGAGCTGCTTGATGCTTCTGAGTGTTGATTTCCTTACGACTTTCATTAAGCACCTATAATGTCTGTCAAGCACCGAGCTGAGCACTAGAGAGATGGACGTGACCAGACCCTGTCTTTGTCCCTTCTTTTCCAGAAGAGTCTTCCTTCTTTTCTATTCCTCCTCATCCCTGTCCTTATCTCCCCCAAAATACAGGTAAACGGTTCAGGGAAGGTGTGGTCATTATTGGAAAGAGAGTGCATAGACAATTCCATCTTTCCCTTCTTCAGACACTGACTTCTGAGACTAGAAGCCTTATAGCTTTGGAAAGGATCTTAATATATTCTATTTTCTTAACTTATTCCTATTGTATGTCCTGGAAATACCTCTTCTTATCCTTCATTCCTTACATATACAAATCCTACCTATATGTTAAGATCTAGTTCAAGTTCTGCATCCTGTAAAAATTATCTCCCAGGACACTTCCAGGCCCTATTTCTTCAAAATTTTCCATTTCTCTGAACCTCTCCTGCTCAATCTAATGATCGTGTAACTGTATACTAAATTCAAGTACTCAGTTAGTTATTGTTTCACAAGCCCGAGTTTGAGCTTTTGAATACACAAGTGTATCCCTCTGTCCTATTCCCAACAGATCCTAGTCCATGGCAGCTGAGCATGCAATAGGTACATAATAAGTAAATTCTTGTTGGTTGTTTGCCCACCCTATGGTAAGAAATTTGAGAGATGTGCTGTTGCTTTCTTTATCTCTGCATCCCAAGCACCTACCACAATATTTGGCACATAGTAGGGATTTGAGAAACTGTTATTAAGTTGCAAAGGATATTTAATGTGTGTGAAAGTGCCTTGGATAGTGCCTAGCACACAGTAGATGCTCAATAAAGGTTTCTTGATTAAGAATTAATTAAAGGATTGGCCAGGCGCGGTGGCTCATGCCTGTAATCCCAACACTTTGGGAGGCCAAGGTGCGCGGATCACGAGTTCAGGAGATCAAGACCATCCCGGCCAACACAGTGAAACCCCGTCTCTACTAAAAATACAAAAAATTAGCCGGGCATGGTGGCGGGCACCTGTAGTCCCAGCTACTTGGGAGGCTGAGGCAGGAGAATCCCTTGAACCCAGGAGGCGGAGCTTGCAGTGAGCGGAGATCGTGCCACTGCACTCCAGCCTGGGCGACAGAGCGAGACTCTGTCTCAAAAAAACAAACAAACAAACAAAAAAGAATTAATTAAAGGATGATAGAACTTCTACTAATGGCATTTTACTGTGGTTGCCTAACCTCTAAAGACTCACCATTTCATTTAAGTTCTTTAAAATGGGTTTCTCCATGGGCTCAGCAAAGGAGTTATACAGAACACTGAGGAAAAAAATGAAAAAAAAAAAAAAAAAAAAAAGAGGTTACTCAGAGACCATAATCAGCCATTTGTAAACCTTCCCTAGGCGATGCCTGAGTATCCAGCCCCTAACTAGCCACTGCCCAACCCAGGGCTCTCATTCACCTGAGTTCTCCGGAAAATGAGACGTGGGCATGGCTCAGTTGGGCGTAGCAATCTTGGAGCTTCAGGGTAGGATGACCAAAGTCATTTCGGGTTAGGATAATGATACCGGTAAAGTAGACTCCGGAGAGAAACAGATCAGCCCCTCCTGTGTCTTGGCTGTTTAAAGAAGTGCAAGGTTATCCAAGCCTGAGTCAGGCACAGAGATGGATCTTGTTTCTCTGATTACCCAGAGACTCTAAGCTCCTGGACTGCAGTGACTTTGTCATGTTCACCTCTGACTTCCTTGCACCTACAACAGGTAGGAGCAGAGTGGGTGCTGATTGAATATTCCCAGAACAGACGAAGTACTGAATATGTGAAAGCTAACAGCTATTGGGATATTCTAATTATTTCACCCTGAGTGCTCTGGCCCTGGCAGCGAGTGAGCTTGTATTGAGCACCCTTCATATACAATGTTTGTTTGGGGAGAGAAAAGAAAGGGCAAGACTGGCAACACTTTATTCAGGAAGGGCATAGATGAAAAAGTGATGCTTAGATGTAGTCTGTGAACTCCTTGAGGGAGTGGATTGTGTGTTACTCATTTCCATGTCCCCAAGACTTAGCATGTGGCCTGACACAGAGTAAGTACTCAGCATATGGTTGATGAGTCATTGAATAAATGAATGAATACATGAATCTATGTTGCTGTGGGGAACGTGTCATTTCTCTACAATCTACAAGACTGGAGTTCTTTAGATGGGGATAAATGTTACACAGCAGGCACTCAATAAATGGTTGTTGACTGACTTAGTGGAAGAATGAATGTGTTATCCTGTGGCACCAACCAAGGCAGACCTAAACATTACACCCAGAACAGTGATTTACACATTGCAACTGGCCTGTAAAAGTACCTTGAATCTGATTTCCTCCTTCTACACGAGGGTGCAAAGGCCTTCCAGTTGGGCTCAGGCTTAAGCTGACTACCATTCTTCAACCTCTGTGTGAGGGAGAAAGACTCCATTTCCCATCACTTACTCCTGCAGATGGGGAAGTGTGTTGAATGGCTGGCTCAAGATCATGCAGTGATTTGTGGGTGATCGAAAATGTTGAGCATGCATCTGTTTCTCTGATAGTCAGGGACTTCTAGTTCTTAAGAGAATCTTAAATGACATTTGATCATATGCTCTGCCTTTAAGAGAAGAATGTTTTTCATCAAAACCCCCCAGTAGGATTTCCTAATTTAAGCCTCACCTGGAAAAAAATGCTTTTGAGAAAGATTGTTAATAATGAGGGAAAGAAGCCTATTGCCAAAAACATTGGTGAATTTCTACATTTTCCGTTTTTGCTCACATTCTCCCAGAACAGCTGCAGACATTTCAGTGGAATACTCACAAAAGTGGAGACTCGAACCCCCAGTCTGTGCTGATGTTGGCAGTGCCATGGTTGGTTAGCGCTTTGATTCCCACTCCAGGCACAAAAGCCAATGAGGTATTTGGAAATGAAAAGGCACTGATTTTTATACTGTAAAACCAGAAACAAGAAGTTAGGGCGACTCTTCCAGCACATCTCTTCAGTCAAGCAAACTTGGGAACACAGTTGCAGAGCTCTTACCATTGAGGCCATTGTGAACTCCTACAGAGAAAAGAACCTCCTGTCTGCAAGGCTGTCTCTGGGGAACTGCCTCCTAATTCTCCTCAAACTCTTACCAGGAAGTCCCTTGAATCCAGTTGATGAGGGAAATGAGCAAGTTTAGAAATATATATGTAATTTTTCTTCTCTCTCGCTCTCTTTTTTTTTTTTTTTTTGAGACAGGGTCTCATTTGTCTCCCAGGTTGGAGTGCAGTGGTGTGATCATAGCTCACTGCAGCCTCGAACTCCTGGGCTCAGGTAATCCTCCTGCCTCAGCTTTCCAAACAGCTGGGTCTACAGGCATGTGCCATCACACTTGGCTAATATTTTTTATTTTTTTTGTAGAGGCAGGATCTCACTGTGTTGCCCAGACTGGTCTTGAACTCCTGGCCTCCAGCAAGCCTCCTGTTTCAGCCTCCCAAAGTGTTGGGATTACAGGCATGAGACACCTCGCCTGGCCTAGAAATATATTTGTAAATAATCAAACAATCTACTTGTTTAGCTTATTTAAAGACAAAAAAAAGGCACAACATTGCCATCATTATTTTTCCTTCAGCAGTTCCAGTGTTTCACGAAAGGGGTGATATTTGTATTTTGCACGGCCCAGCTATTTTTTTTCTTTTTTCTTTTTTTTTTTTGAGACAGAGTCTCGCTCTGTCACCCAGGCTGGAGTGCAGTGGCACGATCTCAGCTCACTGCAATCTCCGCCTCCTGGGTTCAAGGGATTCTCCTGCCTCAGCCTCCCAAGTAGCTGGGACTACAGGCGCATGCCACCACACCTGGATAATTTTTTGTATTTTTAGTAGAGACGGGCTTTCACCATGTTAGCCAGGATGGTCTTGATCTCCTGACCTGACCTCGTGATCTGCCCGCCTCGGCCTCCCAAAGTGCTGGGATTATAGGCGTGAGCCACTGTGTCCAGCCCTTGGCACAGCTATTTTTGTAGAGGACTATCATACACATTACAGGACATTTGGTGCATATGCCAGTAGTGTCCCTCCCCACCTGTCATTGGGACAATCAGAAACGTGCCTTCCTCCTATTTCCAAATGTCCTCTATGTGGACAGTATCTTTGCTAGTGGAGAAACTTAGAGAGTTGACTTCCCCTAGGATTCTCTGGGCTGTCAAAAGGGTAACTAGGAGGCAGTGAGTTGCATGTAACCTGCAAAGGTAGATGGCCACATGCATTATAAGAAATTATTATGAACAGCTGGGCGCGGTGGCTCACGCCTGTAATCCCAGCACTTTGGGAGGCCGAGGCGGGCAGATCACAAGGTCAGGAGTTCGAGACCAGCCTGGCCAACATAGTGAAACCCCGTGTCTACTAAAAATATAAAAATTAACCGGGTGTGGTGGCATGTGCCTGTAGTCCCAGCTACTTGGGAGGCTGAGGCAGGAGAATCCCTTGAACCCAGGAGTGGAGGCTGCAGTGAGCCGAGATCGCCCCACTGCACACCAGCCCGGGTGACAGTGTGAGACTTCGTCTCAAAAAAAAAAAAAGAAATTATTATGAATATCTATTGAGTGGTTGCTACCTGCCAGGCATTGTGGTAAGTGCATTACACGCATTAGCTCATTTTAACTCTCACAGTAATCCTATGAGGTGGTTGCTGTTTTTGCAATCCCCATTTCAAAGATAAGAAGATAAAAAAAGTGGCTGAAGTCATATATAAGTGGCAGAACCAGACCTGGAACCCTCCTCAGTCTGACTTCAGACTCTTCACCACGAGGCTATGCCACTTCACATATTGTGCAAAGAGTGCTTGACTTGGAGCCAAGTTTAGTACCAGCTGTAAAAACTTGGGCAAGGCGCTTAACCAGATTCAATCACTCAAAAGAAGTGCTACTCACAGGTAGGGGCGGGGAGACAAAATGACTTCATTTGTGTATAATTACTGCACCCAAGAAAGGGATTGTTGTGAATGAAGATGAAGAAAAATTTAAAACATAAATGTGATAGCTGATAAGAAACAATTATTTGCTAATAATATTTCCTCTTCTATGCATCCTTTCCTACCTAGTCTCTGTCACGCATCCTGAGTCCCACTGTGGGAAGAGGATGGCAGAGATTCATTTACTATATCTTGGAAATATTTTCATTTTGATACATGCAGGTCTAACCAATTCTTTATAACTGCTGCAGAGTATTTCAAACTGTGGATGGATGTACCATTTCAAAAAAATCATTCCTATGTTGGTGGACATCTAGGTTCTTTCTAGCACTTCTGTATTATATACAATGTCACAGTGAACATCCTCATACATACTGCTTGTGTACATGTACTTCTCTTTTTTTCTTTTTTGAGATGGAGTTTCACTCTGTCGCCCGGGCTGGAGTGCAGTGGCATGATCTCGGCTCACTACAAGCTCCGCCTCCCGGGTTCACGCCATTCTCTTGCCTCAGCCTCTGGAGTAGCTGGGACTATAGGCGCCCACCACCATGCCCGGCTAATTTTTTGTACTTTTAGTAGAGATGGGGTTTCACCGTGTTAGCCAGGATGGTCTCGATCTCCTGACCTTCTGATCCACCCACCTTGGCCTCCCAAAGTGCTGGGATTACAAGCGTGAGCCATCACGCCCAGCCGTGTACATGTACTTCTCTAAGGAGGATGCTGAGCAGTGGAATTGTTGGGTCAAAGAGCATACACACACACACACACACACACACACACACACACACACACACACACACATATATACACATATATACACACATATATATAAGATTATATACTGTATTTTTACTGTCCCTTTTCTATGACTAGATATGCTTAGATACAAAAGTACTTACCATTGTATTACAATTGCTTACAGTATTCAGTGCAGTCTCATGTTTTACAGGTTTGTAGCCTAGGAGCAACAGGCTATGTCATATAGCCTAGGTATGTAGTTAGCTATACCATCTAGGTTCGTGTAAATACACCGTATAATGTTTGCACAATAATGAAATCACTTAATAAGGCATTTCTCAGAACATATTCCTGTTGTTAAGCAATGCATGACAGTAATTTAAAATCTTGTAGTAATCACATTTTAAAAAGGGAAAAGAGAGGTGAAATTAATTTTCTTAATATATTTACTTAAGCCAATATATGTAAAACATTGTCATATGAATATGTAACCAATATAAAAATTACTAATGAGATATTTTCTTTTTTTAAAAAAATAAGTTTTCAAAATCTCGTATGTATCTTATACTCATGATACACCTCAATTCAAACATTGGATTTTATGAGAGATACTGACCTATATATGTTTAGCATCCCAAATCCAAAATTTTTAAGTGCTGACATGATGCTCAAAGGAAATGCCCCTTGGAGCATTTTGGATTTTTGGATTAGGGATGATAAGTAAGTATAAAGCAAATATTCCAAAATTCAAAACAATTAAAAATCTGAAATACGTCTTGTTCCAAGCATTTTGGATAAGGGATACTCAACCTGTATTTAGATTTGATAAGATTTTCAGTTGAAAAAGTAAACTTACAAAATTGTTCCAAACATACTTAAAAGCTTTTCAGTAGTCAAACTGAGCATCAGTTTTTATAATTAAAATTAATGAAAATCAAATAAATAAAAATGCATTTCCTCAGTTGTACTAGCTGCATTTAGTGTTTAATAGCCACCTGTGGCTAGTGGCTACTGTTTAGACAGCACAGGCCTAAAACGATTGTATTGGTTTATCCACCCTGTCTAGCAATGCATGAAAATACCTGTTTCCAGCTTCATCCACGTCCCTACAAAGGACATGAACTCATCATTTTTTATGGCTGCATAGTATTCCATGGTGTATATGTGCCACATTTTCTTAATCCAGTCTATCATAGTTGGACATTTGGGCTGGTTCCAAGTCTTTGCTATTGTGAGTAGTGCCACGATAAACATACGTGTGCATGTGTCTTTACAGCAATATGATTTATACTCCTTTGGGTATATACCCAGTAATGGGATGGCTGGGTCAAATGGTATTTCTAGTTCTAGATCCCTGGCAAGGACAAAAAACCAAACACCACATGTTCTCACTCATAGGTGGGAATTGAACATTGAGAACACTTGGACACAGGAAGGGGAATATCACACACCGGGGCCTGTTGTGGGGCAGGTTGGGGTAGGGTGGAGGGATAGCATTAGGAGATATACCTAATGTAAACGACGAGTTAATGGGTGCAGCACACCAACATGGCACATGTATACATATGTAACAAACCTGCACGTCGTGCACATGTACCCTAGAACTTAAAGTATAATAAATATATATATAAATAAATTTTTAAAAAAAGAAAATACCTGTTTCTCCCCATCTCCACCTACACATGATATTGTACAATTCTTCCTGTACTTTCTGCTGTGGCATTATTACTGTAATTAAATAATTAGTTTTGTAAATATATATTTAATGTCCATCTCTCCCACTGGACTTTAAGGGCAGGTATGTTGTTCACTACAATATCCCCTATTGCTTTCTCTTTTTTTGAGACAGGGTCTCACTTTGTCCAGGCTGGAGTGCAGTGGCACAATCATGGATCACTGCAACCTTGACCTCCAGGGCTCCAGTGATCCTCCCACCTCAGCCTCCCATGTCACTGGGACTACAGGTGTGCACCATCATGCCCAGCTAATTTTTTGTATTTTTGGTAGAGATGGGTTTTCGTCATGTTGCCCAGGCTGGTCTCAAACTCCTGAGCTCAAGTGATCCTCCCACCTCGGCCTCCCAAAGGGTTGGGATTACACGTGTGAGCCACTGAGCCCAGCCTAATATCCCCTGTTCCTAGGACAAGGCTTGATATGTAGCAGGTGCTCAATAAATACTTGTTGAATGGCTAACTTTATACAGATCAGAGCATTAGCCAGAAACTTTCCCTAAGTCACCATCTCTCTTCCTCCTTGTCAAAACATCTTGGTTTTGGGCTGGGCGTGGTGGCTCACGCCTGTAATCCCAGCACTTTGGGAGGCCAAAGGCGGCCGATCACTAGGTCAGGAGATCGAGACCATCCTGGCTAACACGGTGAAACCCCGTCTCTACTAAAAATACAAAAAAAAATTAGCCGGGCGTGGTGGCGGGTGCCTGTAGTCCCAGCTACTTGGGAGGCTGAGGCAGGAGAATGGCATGAACCTGGAGGCAGAGCTTGCAGTGAGCCGAGATCGCGCCACTGCACTCCAGCCTAGGCAACAGAGCAAGACTCCGTCTCAAAAAAAAAAAAAACACAAAAAACAAAAAACCTCTTGGTTTTATAGAATATTATCATTGACAGCAGGGGAATGATCACCCCAAAGGGTTGGAGTAGCAGGGAATTATCACTGGATGGGTAAAATCTTTAACAATTGGGGCAAATTGTGAATCACAGTCACAGAGAACCCCTTAGAAGAGCTTGACTCTCCCTTGACCTTTAAGACTGAGCTCCAGATGGACAAAGCTATCCTCTCCTTATACTGCCTTTGGGGCTTTTGCTGGAGACTATGGCAGAGATTGTCAGTTGCTGTCTGAACTTCCAATTCACTTTCTTCCCTGAACATTCCTGATTTTATTGGGAACGACAAACTTGTTTGGTTGGAAAACTAGTTTTCCAGTCTCCCTTGCTAATAAATGTGGCCATATAATTAAGTTCTGTCCATTGTTGGTTAGGCAGGATCTTATTAGGGTAGAGCTTCAGAAAAACTCATTAAAAAAGAAGACTGACTCAGCTTTTAAGAACGCCTTTACCCTCGTCTCTTCCTCCTTTTAGCTGCCTGAAACATGATGATTTGATGGCTGGAACCGCAGTGGCCATATTGAGCCATGAGGCAAACTTGAGAATAGAAACCAGAGCTAAGGACAGCAGAACAGAAAAAGATAAGAAGGCTGGATTCTGATGAAATCGTGGGGCTTCCATAGAATTCCTCCACTGTTTCCTTTGAGCTTCTTATAAGAGGCAAAATGCTCTTCTTTTTACTTACTTTGAAAAATTGTAGTTTACATAATCAACTTTTAGAAATTCAAGAGACTCAGAACCGCTTAAATCTGGGAGTTTCTTTTCTTTTAGCATTTGCTCAATCATCTTCATTCCAGCTTGAACACCTGTGAAGGAAACAAGAAAGAATCTGTTGATAATGACAAAGATAATAATAGCATAATAACATTAACCACACAAATACAATTTATTGAGTGAGACATGCCCTTAGATACTTAGAAAATGGCAACCCCACAAAGTGGGTATTATTGTCTCTGGTTTACAGATGAAAACTCTGGTTCTCAGAGAGGCTAAGGAACTTGTCCAAGACCACAGAGCTAACATGAGACATTTTCATTACGTCAGGAGGACTAAAGAGTTTTATCACAGAACAGTGTGAGAAGAAAAGTATAACATTTTCTTCAGGTCAGGAGCAGTAGCTCATGCCTGTAATCCCAGCACTTTGGGAGGTTGAGGCGGGAGGATCGCTTGAGCCAAGGAGTTTGAAACCAGTCTGGGAAACATTGAGATCCTGTCTCTACAAAAACAAACAACAACAACAACAACAAAAAAAAAAATTAAAAAATTAGCTGGGCATAATGGTGCATGTCTATAGTACCAGTGACTCAGGATGCTGAGTTGGAAGGATTGCTTAGGTCCTGGAGGTCGAGGCTGCAGTAAGCCATGATTGCACCATTGTACTCTAACCTGGGCAGTAGAGTAAGACCCTGAGCCTCAGAGAAGTTCACTGTTGCCCAAATCATACAGCTAAGAACTAGGGGAGCCAGTGGTCAAATTCAGACACTTCGGCTCCAGAATCTGTGTGCTATGGACAGTTCCAGAAGGTTATTCCACACTCTTTTTTCCTTTCAGATTCTTTAAGCTCAAGAATTTTTGGCCTGTGGTTCTTGGGCTGTAGGAAACTCCTGAACTACATGAAATTCTAATAAAAAACTGTGGGTGAGTCGTGTGTGCATATGTGTCTCGTTTTTGAAGGGAGAGAATCTACATTTTGACCAGATTGTCAAAGGATCCTGATATTTTTAAAAACTTAATAACGACTGCTTTTGTTTCATCCTGGAATAACTCATCAGCTTCTTTATATGGAAGCATCACACGACACATTTCTCTGAGCTCATTGGGGAAAAGAGACCTCTCCCACATTAAAGAGCTTGAGAAAAGTAACCTCCATAGTTAATGAAGAACATTTACTTTCACCCTTTTCAAGGAGGAAATATTGCCTTTATCCCCTTATTTTGCAGTTTAAGTTCCTTTCCAGTTATCCTATCCTTGTTGGGGATGAAGAAGAGCAGGTTTTATCCTCTAAAATGCCAGAAAAAAATATTGCAATATGGTGATGCAAAGACAGATATAAAGGATGTGAAGATAGAGCCAGAGGCACTACCAGAGAGCTTAGGTTTGAATCCCAACTTTGCCACTGAATAGCTTGTGTGACTCTGCAAGTTACATAGCTTCTCTGTCTCTTACTTTCTTCATCTATGACAATAGTAACCTTGGAGGGGTCTGTTCACACATGTGAAAATGACAGTAGCTGATACTTGTTGGGCCATATTTGCTATGGCCAGACAGCATTCTAAGCGCTTTACGTATGTTAATTCATTTATTTTCCACAACAATCCTATGGGTAGGTACTATAATTTTCATTTTCATCTCCATTTTTTTTTTTTTTTTTTGAGACAGAGTCTCGCTCTGTCACCAGGCTGGAGTGTAGTGGTGCGATCTCAGCTCACTGCAACCTCTGCCTCCTGGGTTCAAGTGATTCTCCTGCCTCAGCCTCCCAAGTAGCTGGGACTACAGGCGCATGCCACAATGCCCAGTTAATTTTTGTATTTTTAGTAGAGATCGGGTTTCACCATGTTGACCTGGATGGTCTCGATCTCTTGACCTCGTGATCCTCCTGCCTCGGCCTCCCAAAGCGTTGGGATTACAGGTATGAGCCACCACGCCTGGCCTTCCATTTAAAAAAATATCTTGCAGATATTACTAATAACAGACACATCAGATCTCTTACTAGAAAATGTGGAGGCATAAATCATTGATAAAATTTTAAAAATACCTAATTTGTATTGAGTGCCTGTCTATGCTAGGACTCCACATACGTTCTCTCCTCTCTTCTTGGATCCTCACAGCAACCCAGTGACGAGGTGTTATTATCCTTGTTTCACAAAGGAGGCAGCTGAGGCTCAGGGAGGTTCAGTAACTTGCCCGAGAGCCCACAGCTAGTGAGCAGCATTATCCAGAGCTTGGAGGAACAGGGAGTAGATGATAGAGTGCAGGTTTCAAGCTCCGGCAGCACAGACCTGAATTCATATTTGCCTGAGTCCCTTACTGCTGTGAGACTTGGGAAATGTCATATTCCTCCTCTATAAAATGACAACAGCTTATTTGTAGGGTTGTTGGTGGAATTAGATCAACACACAGCCCAGAAAGCACATTCAAAGAGGCCGGCCATGGTAGATGCTCAAGAAATGATTCTGAATTCAAAGGCTGCCCTTCTCCACTAGCCCATGCTATATTTCCTGTGGGTGGGATTATAGCCCATGGATGATCCCGTTTGATCCTCACCTCACACTAAGTGTAGGTAGGTAGGCACCATTTTTATCATCCCATTTTCCATATGAGAAAATCCACTGGCCCAAGGCCATGTATCAAGGAAAGCAACAGAACTGACATTTACAGCCATGTGGATAGACTTCAGATCTGTTCTTTTAATGACTCTGCTCCAGAAGGTGAAGAAAAGAACTGCACAACTTTAATACTGTTACAAGATATCTGTTTCTGATATGTATTTCTTTGCACATCAGCACATCAGTATAGTAACAAGATACACACACATGCATATACACATACATATATTCCTGGTACGTATTTCTACACACACCATTGTCCACATAACATTTGTGCAAGATGGCTCAATTTTAGATCTCCTGCACTAGATGATGTACTAGCAGAAAAACAAGGAGTTGTCTCTAAATCCTTCTTTCTTCCCTCTCTCCCTCCCTCCCTCCTTCCCTCCCTCCCTCAATCCTTCTTTCTTTCTTTCTTCCCTCCCTCCCTCCCTCCCTTCCCTCATTTATTTATTTTATTTTTTCTGGTATAGTAGAAGAAGCATTTCTTAGTTAGGCTTAGTTAGGTATTTCTTGGTTAGACTAGCAGTGCTTAGGTTGACTGCTTTAGTTAAAGAGGACTGAGAAAGCTCCATCATCAACCTACCCTTAGCTAATCTCAAGTAAAATTTCACAGGAGAAAACAGGTCCATATACTTTGATTTTTGCAGTCCATTCCCTCTCCACAATCTGCTCCCACCTCATCTTAGCCCAAGGAAAATCACATCCCAACGTTTGTCTCTCCCTAGTGTTTATAAATGTTCTCTAAAGGAGTGGCTTTTAACCTTTCAGTGTTTCAGACTCCTTCCCACATCCAATAAATATGAAGGAGCCTCTCCTCAGAAAAATGCAGTCACCCATATTACATTTTAACCCAATTTTAGGGGATTCTAAGTCCCTTTTGAAACCAAGCCCTTTCTGAAGCCCCAAGGTGTTACTTTTACTTTCAAATTTCCTTTCCTGTATCCTACAAATGTGTCTTATTTGGAACCCTCAGATGTTCATTATGTGTATATATGGGAAAGAGAGAGAGACAATGAGAATCTGTGCTGTGTTTGGACATGCCTCCCATCAAGTTGACTATTTTTTAGGCAACGCTTTCTTCGCAGCCATCTTAGCAGTTTCTGCATAAGGTACTGGATCACCCCACAGTACGGCGTTTCTCAGTCAGGAGACAGCCCATGTTATGAGCTGTTCAGTTTGGGTCACAGACCCCACCTAGTGGGCCTGAGGTCTGGCTTCTGAAAACATCCAACTCACCATAGTCAAGTGCCCTCTGAGTAATCCTTGCCTTGATTCCAGGGTAAATGGTCTGAGAGGATGAGACATAGAGATTCCACAGGAGGAAACATCCCCAGAGGACTGGGATTGTCTTTGTACACATCTGAAATTAACCAACAGTTAAGGTTCCTTTATTATTCTTGACTTTCTCTTTGGTCAATTAAATCCAACATTTCTAGATTTTCTCATTTTTACTGTTTACTTCCAGAACTCAATACATCCATCCAATCCATCCATTCATCCATCCATCCATCCATCCATCCAACCATCCATCCGTCCATCCATCCATCCATCCATCCATCCATCCATCCATCCATGCGCTCTCCCACCCATCCATCCATTCATTCAGCAATCATTTATTGAACACACCAGCATGTGTTCTAGGTGCTAAGGGTGTAGTGTTGACCTACACATGGCCCCTGACCTATGTTTTTCACAGACTAGTAGTGAATATGCATCCTTCAGGGCCAGCTCCATGTCCCTCTCTGTGAAAACTTCCCTCACCAAGTCATTTTACCCTGGGCTCATCACATTCTACTCTGGGATCCCACCACACTTTACACAGTGCATATGCGTCCATTAGAACATCTGATACACGATGTTGTCTGTTTGCAGGCAGGACTTCTCCTCTTACCCTGGTTCAAGCCAGTACCATTTCACATAGATTTTTGTGATAGCCTCCTTACTGGTCTCTCTGCTTCGGCCATTGCTCCTTTCTGGCCATTCTCCACACCACAGCCAGAGTGAGCCTCTTAAAATGAAAGTTAGATCATGTTACTCCCCACCCCCATTAAAGCCCTTCAGTGGTTCCCCTTCTTACTCAGTGTAAACGCCGAAGTCATTTTATCAGCTACAAGGTGTAGAGGGCCTTGTAGCTGATGGAATGACCCTATGCCTCCACTTCCTCATTGACCTCTGTCCTTAACACACACACCTGGCTCTCATGATCCCAGCATCACTGGCTAACTTGATCTTTCTTTAATGATCTAAGTAGCCTGTACACCAGGATCTTTGTATTTGCTGTTTCCTCTTCCTGGCATAGTCTTCCTCAAAGAACCCGGTCTTGCACTTCTTCAGATAACTCAAATGTCGTCTCAGCAAAGTCTTTCCTAGCCACTCAATGCAGAACATGGACACCTTCCCTGTGGCCCTGTTATTATGACTCCACCATTGCTTTATTTTCTCCAAAGCACTTATCATCATCTAGTGTAGTATCCAGTTACTGATGTGTGTATTGTCTATCTCCTCTGCTGGAATTTTTAGGCTTCATGGGGAAGGACTTCATCACTTCAGCACCTTGAATAGTGACTGGCACACAGCAGGCATTAGGGAACTACTGAATGGCAGATGGAATGAATGAATGAATGAAGTCTCTTTCACAAGCTGTGAATTGGGCCATGTGTGCCTTATGGGTTCTCCAGCACCTGGGGAAGCCCTTAATCTTAGTATACACCATCCCGTATTGTGACTGTCTTTTTACTTGTCTATCCCTTTGTCATGGGGATTGTGTCTTACTTCTATAACTCTGGAGTCCAGTACAATACCTGGCACATAGTAGGCACACAACAGATTTTTGATGAAATAAACATTCTCTGCAAAGAGTGGGACCACATCTTACTCACTGTTATATCACCCATACTTGGCATACATGAATGATTAACGTATGCTTGTTGAATTAATAGACCAAACAAATTAATGGCATCCCATTTTCTTGATAGATGAAGCACAGGTCCCAAAAGCAGCAGTAATTTGGGTTTCTTTTAATGAAAATCAAGTGAGTAATATATTCACAGGCCTTCTTTCTAGTTTGGAAGTTACAATCTGGGTGAGCTATCACTGCTGCACTTACACATGCAAAAGACTCACAGGTGGCAGGTACCACTGCGCTAACACACAAACATGAAACAAATCAAGGAAGGCCCAGGAAGGTGACCTTGTGGATGTGGTCAGAGAGGAAGAAGTAAGCCAGGTGTGGTGGCTCATACCTATAATACCAGCACTTTGGGAGGCCAAGGCAGGAGGACTGCTTGAGCCCAGGAGTTTGAGACCAGCCTGTGGAACATGGCAGGACCCCATCTCTACAAAAAATAAAAAATAAGGCTGGGCACGGTGGCTCATGCCTGTAATCCCAGCACTTTGGGAGGCCGAGGCGGGTGGATCACGAGGTCAGGAGATTGAGACCATCCTGGCTAACGTGGTGAAATCCCATCTCTACTAAAAATACAAAAAATTAGCTGGGTGTGGTGGCGGGCGCTTGTAGTCCCAGCTACTCGGGACGCTGAGGCAGGAGAATGGCATGAATCCGGGAGGCGGAGCTTGCAGTGAGCCGAGATCATGCCACTGCACTCCAGCCTGGGCGACAGAGTGAGACTCCATTTCCAAAAATAAAAAATAAAAATTAAAAAAAAAACTAAAAAATTAGCTGAGGATGGTGGTACACACCTGTAATCCCAGCAACTTGGGAGGCTGAGATGGGAGAATTGCTTGAGCCTGGGAGGTGGAGGCTGCAGTGAGCTGTGATCATGCCACTGCACTCCAGCTTGGGCAACGGAGCAAGATCCTGTCTCAAAATAAAATAAAATAAAATAAAAAAAGAGGAAACTGTGAGAGCCATGTGTTTAGATAGAGGGAGGGGTCAGGCCAGGTGGTCAGGTAAGGATTCAGAGATGAGTAGGATTCAGAAGCAGCCTGGGTGAAGGAAAAGAGGTCACTGTAAGAGGTGGAGCCCTTGGCCGAAGTAGGTGAGAGGTTTGATTAAGGGGGGTGAGTAGGCTTTAAGGTGAGGCCATGGAGGTGGGAATGGGGCAATGTATATAAAGGGACTTCTAGAGAATTTGCTTGAAAAGAACAGAGCAGTCTGATTAGGGATGGAAGTGTCCAGGCAAGGCCACTGCTAGCCTATCTTGGGCTTTTGTGTGAAATGGGAAAAGGCGCCCCTCTGGAGAGATGCCAGCCTCTTGGCACAAAGTGGAGCCAGTGGAAAGCATTTTAGGAAAACCCCACACCAGTGTACGCAGCTGGGTGGGAGGTGGAAGGGCTATCCTATGTATCCATTGGGCTGGAATTTTGTCTAGTGCACAAACTCCCCAACTTACACAGGGGGCCTGTGCTCAGATTAGTGAATGCTTATGTGGGTATTTTGCTGGAGGCCAAAGGTTTAGAAATAAGGTCTTCACCTGTCTGTGGGTAAGTTCATCTTCAGGTCTGAGAAGGCTGGCTGGGTCAACCTGCTTACATCTCTCACCTGATCTCCTAGGAGCCCCCTCTATACCCCACCATCCAGCCAAACTGAACTACTGGTCCCTAAACACATGCCACGTTTTCTGCCTAATGCTATTGCCTATGTTTTTCCCCTCTGCCTATGCCTGCAGAAACCGTGCATATCCCTAAGGCCCATTTAAAGCACCATCTTCTTTCTAAAGCCATTTATGACTTCCCTGAGTTAATTTCATTTCCTTTTAACCCTTGATCAAAATACATATTTATTCATGCGTGTATGTTTCTTTTCTGGCTTATGATTTGCCTTCCCTACCAGAATATAAGTGCCTGAAGGCAGAGACTGCAACTGGTTTGGAGGTCCTAGGTCTGGCTCAGTGCCTGGGATAGAGTGAGTGACTGTTAAGTGTTGGTAGAATGAATCAATGGTAGAATGAATAAATGAAGGAATATCCCTTACCTTACTCTATCATGTATTACACTTCTTTACAGAGATGGTTAACAAAGTATTTGTGTACTAGTAAACTGCAGGCATCCATCGAAACAGATGTTGGCCACAGTCCTGGAGCAGGGGCCAGGAAGTTGAGTGCCAGATCATGGGGAGGACAGGGGATGTCTTACAGGAGGGGCCAGAGTAGTTGGGGGCACTGGGAATAGGAGGGGGACACTCAGAGTATTGGCTCCTTACCCTTAGCTATTAAGGCATTTTGGTATTTTACCACTGATATGGCCTTATGAATCCAGCATGATATTTCAGCCCTAAAGAGCTGGTTTGGGTTCTACAGGACAAGTTACAGAGGGAAACTGGGGAGCAGTGTTGGGAGCAGAGCTAAGAAAGGATGACTTGAGGGTGGTCAGGGTGCAGACAGCACTAAGGGAAGCACAGGGAAATGGGAGGGTTGAGAGCTGAGGGGAAGGGATTTGGGTAGGAGAGGAGGATCTCTGGCCAAGCAATGAGTGATCTGAAGGTTGGAGGAAATGTGGTGAGTGGGATAAGGGGGTGTAAAGCCCTCCATGTCCTGAGAGGCAGAGTGACAGTAACAGCATCTTAACACTCTGAATGGATGCATGTACCTCCTGCAGGAGCTAGATCCAGCTGATCTTCTGCTGTGCTGGGCCTTTCTTGATCCTTTAGTTGCCCTTGGAGGTTAGTCAAGGTGTCCTGGAAAGGGGGATAAGTAGAGATGAACTATGGGAGTGAGGAGAACACTTCTGGGACTCAGGTTAGTGGCTGCTGACCAACTGGTATAGGAGCATTTCCACATTTTAACATATGGCGAGGCCAAACTGAAAAGCAGTCTTGCTAATATCACTGCCGGCTAAAAATTGTAAATGGATGTGTTATGCCAAGACAGGCATTAGAGAGATTTTTGTTTTAAAAGAGCAAAAATAGGCCGGGCGTGGTGGCTCACGCCTATAATCCTGGCACCTTGGAAGGCCAAGGTGGGCGGATCATGAGGTCAAGAGATCAAGGCCATCCTGGCTAACATGGTGAAACTGTCTCTACTAAAAATACAAAAATTAACCAGGTGTGGTGGCGCACACCTGTAGTCCCAGCTATGTGGGAGGCTGAGGCAGGAGAATCACTTGAACCCAGGAGGCAGAGGTTGCAGTGAGCCAAGATTGTGCCACTGCACTCCAGTCTGGCGACAGAGCGAGACTCCATCTCAAAAAAAAAAAAAAAAAAAAAAGAAAAAAGAAAAAAAAGAAAAAAAAAAGAAAAATATTTTCATAGCAATGGAATGCAATGGGAAAGAATGTTAAGACCAAAATGTCTGTACCTATTAGACTGTGTGCAAATTAAGGCAGACATGATATCTCTCCCTGGCACATGGTAAGACCCAAATTAATATGTGCTAACTGATCAACTGACTGACTTAAAAGATTCCAGTCAACTAAGAAAGGTTCTACAAATGGTTAGAAAAAAAGGAAAAACCAAACTATCATATATAATATAGAGCTCTCCATTTCTATAGTGAAAAAAACATAATAAACCAGAGAAGAAATATTACTTGTGAATGGAATAACAACTAAAATAATAAATTTTTATTTCTTTACCCTTTACAAAACTCACAGTTCTTTGAAGTGGATGTTCTTATTATCTTACTCCCATTTTAGACACGTGGACATGGAGGCTTAGAGAATCTGATGACTCGTCCAAGATCCCACAGTAAGTAAGGCACCTGGGAACCCAACCTTGTTCTTCTGGTTCCTAATTCTAGTGTTGATGAATTTATTTTTATTGAATGACTCGATACATGCTAGGGTTTTCATTTTCATCTGGGAATTTTAAATAGGAGTTGCTTGACACCATTTTCCTTTTTGTTGTTGTTGTTTAAAAGTTACTCAATTTTTTTTATTACACTTTAAGTTCTAGGGTACATGTGCACAGAAAACCAAACACCATTTTCAAGGTGGAAAAATTCAATAAGCATCTAGAAACGTTCAAGCATCACAGTGCAAATCCCTTCTTATTTTCTTGGACACAACTGGAGTTTTAAATTCCCTGCCAGCAGTAAAACCTGTTTTCCCTTCTTGGTTAAAAAAAGTTTCTGAAGTGGTACACTTTGATGGAGATCCAGGAATCCAAAATTACAGGCAGGAAAACATATTTTTCCTCTAGAAATTTTATGAGTGAAAGAAATTACTGGGGTATGAAGGGGTGAATTGTACATAACTTTTCATTGAATTGTTCAGTTACGATGATAACTTATGGGCAGGGGAGGAAAGGAACCTTGTCAAGCAAGGTGATGACTACTAAAAGGTTAAGTAATTTGGCTGACAAGTGCAGGCAGGGCTAGTTGCCTGTTAAAAGGATCCAAGATCACTTAAAAACCCCACCAGCAAGTTATCTATTTTGTTGCTTCTGGGGAATTGCTTCTTTCCAAGATTCAAAATCTCAGTAGTCATTATTTTTCCATACAAATACACAGACAGAATAATACTCCTAAATTAAATGGTCCTTGTGTGAGTCATCCTGACAGCTAAGAAAATGCCAGTCCAATTTAGAAAACACCTGAAACTCACAGATGGTCCTACTACTACTGCTGCTTGGCAAGAGCTTTGACTGACTCTGGAAAAACCGATTAAGGGAGTAATGAATGAGTAAAATGTAGCCTTCAAAACAGAGGCGCAGGTTGAAAAATTAAGTTCAACAGGTTTAAAGAAGTCTAAACTAGAAGGGTATTCCGACATATTGGTTAAGACAAAATGACCGTACATAAGAAGTCTAAATCGACAGGTATGGAACGTGGGCAGAATATTTCAAGGGATCCACTCCTCACATCTAGTTTTATAGCAACATCTCTAATGACAAGGACCTTGAGAATTCATAGCATGTCTTTTCCCCAAAACTCTATGCCTAACACCAACAAGTTCAACAGTCCAGGCAAGTGGGTGGCTAGTTTTGCTCTGGCAGGATCTAGGTCACTGATGTGCTTTAAGACCTGCCTTGAAAGCACAGAGATTATAACAACTCCTTAGTCCTAACCATGCTGATTTTGAGAGACAAGATAGAATTTTCTGCCACTGTGCTGGGTTCCCCTCTGAAATGGAGGCAAAAATAAGTCCAGATCACTGAGCAACCCTCTTAACATTGTTCCATGATGCAAAACTAAGTAGGTGGTTTAAACCAACTCTTTTCTCTCTTATGGCTGTTTAGCTGTCACTAAAGCTTTTGCCTAAGAAGCCTCCAGGTGCGCATATGTGACATCACACAAACAAACAAACAAAGATACAGAAAAATCTAGGCAGACAATAATAATAACCCAGGATATATGACAGCTGCCTGTTCAAAGTGTCCTACCAAATCTGGGACATCTCCAGTTTGGAGATCATGGCTGGCAGAGACCTGAAGTTTGTTCATGAGTCTTACCTCAAGCAGAGGAAGTGTCCAAAGCTGGAGAGCACCTTCGATTCTCTCTGCCTTTGAAGCTGATGTGTTCTCCACCTTGCGCCTTAAACTCAGCTGCTAAAAAGCCAAGATAATTAAGTCTGACTCATCTCAGTGGTGAATTTTTTTAATGCCTCTTTCAAAATGTGATACATAATTGCTTCACTACAATTACCCAATGGCATGAATGAGCACTACAGTATCTACCTAGATAAACAGACAGTGCCACCTATGCAATAATTATCTTCCTGCAAAACACACACACACACACACACACACACACACACACACCACTTGTGAAATTGTGATGGCTACTTTACCAAAATGATTGAAAACGGTGTTAAACTGCATTGGAAGAGGAAGAATTTTCCTGTCTGGAATCATAAGCTGGTTCCTTCTGGTCAGGGTGCCTGCGGTGGATGGCTCTACTACTGCCCAGAATACCTTTGGGACTTGTGGTGGATCATCAGATTCAGTCTGAAAGCATGAGGCTTGACAATCGGGCTGACCTAGTTACCTTATCACTCAGGGTAGGACCTCAGTTGGCATCTCTCAGTGTCCGTCCGCTCCTTTTCAGAATGTTATTAATGACTTACTGTTCCAGCATTCCTTAAACCTAAGTTGGGTGGGTGGGTTCATCAACTATTATGCAACTTAACATTTTCAGATTCCAAACTCCAGCCCTACTCTCATCTCCAATAAATTCATTTTAGTTAATGTGTTTTATCTATTTTTATTTTTATTTATTTATTTTTTGAGATGGAGTCTCACTCTGTCACCCAGGCTGGAGTGCAGTGGAGCGATCTTGGCTCACTGCAACCTCCGCCCCCTGGGTTCAAACAATTCTCCTGCCTCAGCCTCCCTAGTAGCTGGGATTACAGGAGTGCGCTACCACGCCCAGCTAATTTTTTGTATTTTTAGTACAGACAGGGTTTCGCTGCATTGGCCAGGCTGGTCTCGAACTCCTGACCTCATGTGATTGATCCACCCGTGTTGGCTTCATAAGTGCTGGGATTACAGATGTGAGCCATCATACCCGGCCATTAATGTATTTTAGATGGCCAGGGATTTGATTGTATGAAGTTTTTTTTTTTGTTTTTTGGTTTTTTTTTTTTTGAGACAGTCTCACTGTCACCCAGGCTGGAGTGCAGTGGCATGATCTTGGCTCACTACAACCTCTGCCTCCAGGGTTTAAGCGATTCTTGTGCCTTAGCCCTCTGAGTAGCTGGAATTACAGGTGTGCACCACCAAACTTGGCTAATTTTTGTATTTTTAGTAGTGATGGGGTTTCACCATGTTGGCCAGGCTGGTCTTGAACTCTTGACCTCAAGTGATCCACCTGCCTTGGCCTCCCAAAGTCCTGGGATTACAGGCATGATCCACCGCACCCAGCCTGATTGCATGAAGTTCTTATGGCTTATCTACACTTTTCTGGGTAAGACCCGGTGACCAACTGTCCTGGTTTCCCAAGAATGCAGGATTTTCAGTACTAAAACCAGAACAGTCCTGGGAAAATCAGGATGATAAGTCAGTCTGAAAGGAACCACAGACGCTTTCACTTGGCATTGTCCATACTTCTCACAGCTTCTCAGGGGAGTTATACCTTGGGTTATACTTACTGATTTGAACTGAGTTTCCTTAAGGTAAAGTGGGGATAGAAATAGTAACTTCCTTGATTGGTTCTGGTGAAGAAAAACATAATAACACATGAGAATGCGCTATTAAAACTGTAAACTGCTGTGAAATTCTACTCATTAGCACGTGGCCGTATCAATAATGATACGGTGCAGAGACGCTCTTCATGGGATCATTTATTGTCGGTCATCATAGATGAATTCATTCATTCAATCAACAGATTTACTGAGCACCTACAATGTGCAAAGTCCTCTTCAGCAAAAAAGATGAAATTTTTGTCCACGAGGAGTTTATGTTCTAGTCGATGGAGACAAAATAAATAAGCAAACAATAAAATAAACAAAAATGTATAAATTGTGACATGTACTGTGACGGAACTAAGGGAATGTTGTTGGTAAGGTGGTCTTGTAATAGGTAGAGCAATGCAACTGGGGGAGGTGGGCTTATTTTATCAGGATACCCACGTGGGCGTCTCTGAGGAGGTGATTATTTGCGCTGAGATGTGACCGTTGGAAGCCAGGCAGGCAAAGTGCTGAAAGGAAAAGGTGGAGGGAACTGCAAAGGTGAGCCAGTTTGTCTGAAATGGAGTTGGGGCAGAAGTTATGGTATTCGAGATGTAAATGGTGATGTCAGGTGGGTAGAGTTCAGGGAAGAGGTCAACTGGAAATATGAATGTCTAAGTCATCATCCGAAAGGTGGAGTTAAAGCCACAGAAATGAATGAGATCATTGCAGGCAGCTTCCCACGTGCATGTGCTACTGAAAGTGTGGAAGATGAGTTCAGGCGCTATGCAGAGAAGCTCTTGAAATTGTACTGTGCATTAGAAAAAATACAGAGCTAGACATGGAAGACGAAGGACAACATGGAAGATGAAGGACAACATCAAAAGCACTATATGGAAAAAAAAAATCACAAAACACCTCTACATCTTTCTACCTTTTCCTCACTATTTTCCCCGGGTGGCAACATCAATTTCCTCCCCCGCCCCCTCTCTCCCTGTCCTTCTCCAGGGTCCGAGGTCTCCTCTTTCGTTTCTCTCCTCTCCAGAGCAGCTTCTTGGCTCCATCTTCTTCCCCTGCTCCCACCTTCACTGTCTGGCCCCTGCCCAGCCCATCCCCTGCTCATTCTCAATTCCTTTTCTCTGTTAGAAAGAAACCAACAATCGGCTGGGCGTGGTGGCTCACGCCTGTAATCCCAGCACTTTGGGAGGCCGAGGCGGGCAGATCACGAGGTCAAGAGATCAAGACCATCCTGGCTAACACAGTGAAACCCCGTCTCTACTAAAAACACAAAAAATTAGCCGGGCTTGGTGGTGGGCGCCTGTAGTCCCAGCTACTCAGGAGGCTGAGGCAGGAGAATGGGGTGAACCTGGGAGGCAGAGCTTGCAGTGAGCCAAGATCTCGCCACTGCACTTCAGCCTGGGCAACAGAGCGAGACTCCCTCTCAAAACAAACAAACAAACAAACAAACAAACAACCATAAAATAACAGTATCTTTCCATCTTTCCTGATGCAAATACTTTTTCTTCCTGTTACAAAAGACCTGAAAGTCTAACCACATCTTTGGTGAAAACCCCAGAATCATTGCTGTATATTCCAGGAGTCTGCCACAAGATAGAAGAGGGAGGTTGGCTTGAATGAGAATGGTGAGGAGAGACAGTGCAAGGTGTAGAGATTCGCCTTGCAGTCATGAGGGCTCTCGCCTCCCCTGGACCTGGACCTGCGCTACCCATTCCAACGCTGGGTCCTTGAACAATTTACTTCACTTCCAGGTCTCAGAGCCATCACCTCTAAAAGTGGAGCTCACATTTACTTTGAAGAGTCATTTTGAGAATGAAATTAGACGAGGCAGCACCTATGTTTTTCACACAGTGTCAATAAATTAGATGCATTTCATCTATTTTTATTTAAAGTTAATAATTACAAAGATATCTTAAACAAGGTTTGTTTTTAAGAAGTATACAAAGTTCAGTTTTCATGGTATTTACTTTTTACAGTTACCCTCTATTAGGAAATTTAAAAAGTTTCCCCTTTATATAACTTTTCCCTTTTAAATAAGATTATATACATTTTAAGAAGTGGGTTGATTTATGGGAAAAAAAAGTAAATAACAGTACAGCTCACATGGGACATAGAATACTTTTTTTTTTTTTTTTGAGATTTAGTCTCACTCTGTTGCCCAGGCTGGAGGGCAGTGGCACCAACTCGGCTCACTGCAACCTCCCGCTCCTGGGTTAAGCAATTCTCCTGCCTCAGCCTCCTGAGTAGCTGAGATTACAGGCGCCACCACCACGCCTGGCTAATTTTTGAATTTTTGGTACAGATGGGGTTTTGCCATGTTTGCCAGGCTGTTCTCGAATTCCTGACCTTGTGATCCACCCGACTCGGCCTCCCAAAGTGCTGGTATTACAGGCATGAGCCACCGTACCCAGCCTTAGGACATAGAATAATTTCTGAAAAAGGGGCTCAAATAATTAGAGTCTAGGAAACAAAGATCTAAGAAGAGAGTGTAGCTAGTCTGTTGTCTTTTATTTGGAAGAGGCCTTAGAAATCAGCTAATTAGCCTTCCTAATTAGCTGTTTAGGGCACATTTGCCAAATTCATCTTTAAAAACATCAACAACAAAAGCCAGCAGCACCCTATCCAGTTTCACTGTTTATTTTAGCTTTCCATATTTAACAGAAGATTTGCTGGGAATGCCTGCTTCTTCAGCCTACTCATGACGGCAATCTAAAATGCAAGATTAATTATTACACTGTCAAATAGCTGACAGTGTGTTTGTCTTTGCAGATCAGGGAACACTCTTAATTAAGACTCCAAAAGAAAAATCATAAATAACTGGCTAGAAATACTTGTTCATTAAAACGAGATGTCAAGAGATAGTGTTAGGGAACTGAGCATCCCTGTTCTTGGTTTCTAGAATGTCTGGGCTATAACCATATAGAAAGAGCTAACTAGGCCGGGCGCGGTGGCTCACACCTGTAATTCTAGCACTTTGGGAGGCTGAGGAGGGCAGCTCACGAGGTCAGGAGATGGAGACCATCCTGGCAAACACGGTGAAACCCTGTCTCTACTAAAAAAAAAAAAAAAATACATAAAATTAGCCGGGCATGGCGGCGTGTGCCTGTAGTCCCAGCTGCTGGGGAGGCTGAGGTAGGAGGATGGTGTGAACCCAGGAGGCAGAGCTTGCAGTGAGCCGAGATCACGCCACTGCACTCCAGCCTGGGCGACAGAGCGAGACTCTGTCTCAAAAAAAAGAAAAAAGAAAAAAAGAAAGAGCTAACTGAAGATCAAACATTTTTGAGATTGGAGGACAAATTATATTATTCTTGCTAGGAGACAAAAGTGGGAGGGAAGAGGGATTATGTGGATATGGAGGGAGGCGCCACATAGGGCAGTCTTGGGGCAAAAGACACTGTGAGTTCCAATCGCTCATTGCCCCCAATGTTTGCGTTGGTGAAATCTGGTTAAAAGGAAACCCTAAAGAAGGATACATAGGGTAGAGAAAAATAAGAGCTAACATTTATTGTTTGTTATGTTCTGGGCACCATCCATATATGAATTCACTAAATACTCATCAAGACTGTATAAAGAACTAATATTATTTCCATTCGCTAGGTGGGACAACTTGCCTAAGCTTAGACATTACAGCTAGTAAGTTGCGGAGCCAGGATTCAGGACCCAGGTGTTCCGTTTTCAAGGATATGCCTTTTTACCACTATACTATGCTGACTTTTTAGGAAGGTCACTAAAGGGCAACACACAACCCAGGGTACGCAGAAGGTGGCAAGAGAGAAGGATGCTGTTGCTAGGCAACCCATCTGGTTTTCTGAGCTGCTAATTGAATCTGTGTAGCGCAGATTTATGTGTTTGTTTGAAATAGCTAGTTTATTTCTAGCCAGAAGAAGCTGCCTGGAGTTCATGTGATTCTGAAGGTGATGAGTCATCTTACAGTTCATCCTGGGAGGGCTGGGGAGAAGTCTGGCAGAATCATCCTATCACCCAGCAGTAGCTCCTCCTCTTGTCCCTGCTCTGTCGCAGGCCACACTCCATTGATGTCTGTGTAATGATGTTTCTGGGTGGACATCAATGACTGACTCAGACTGTGACTTCTCACACCAGTCACGCTCTGGAACGGTTTAGAGCAGTGATGCTCTCTTGGTTTTGACAAATGAACCTACTCACGTCGGTTCCTTCCATTGTTACTAGTTATCTAGAAGGGAGTCACATTATCTTACTGCAGTTCAAAATGAACTTAAATTCATGCTAAAATTTAAATTCATATGTGACTTTTTGAGATATGAAGGGTATTATGGAACCAAACAAACAAGATAGTGTGATATTACTCTGAAACATCTGGGAATCGATGGTGTGAGCCCAATCCAAGTAGACCAGGATTTCCTTACTTTGGCCCTGCTGGCATTTTGAGCTACATAATTCTTGGTTGTAGGGGGCTGTCCTGTCTATACTAGAATGTTTAGCAGGCCAGGTGCGGGGGCTCATGCCTGTAATCCTAGCACTTTGGGAGGCCAAGGCGGGCAGATCACTTGAGGTCAGGAGTTCGAGACCACCCTGGCCAATGAAGTAAAACCTTGTCTCTACCACAAATACAAAAATTAGCTGGGCGTGGTGGCACACGCCTGTAATCTCAGCTACTTGGGAGGCTAAGGCGGGAGAATGGCTTGAACCCTGGAAGCGGAGGTTGCAGTGAGCTGAGATTGTGCCACCGCACTCCAGCCTGGCAACAGAGCAAGACTCCTTCTAAAAAATAAATAAATAAATAAATAATGTTTAGTAGCATCCCTACTATTAGATGCCAATAGCACCACAACCTCCTACCCTAGTTGTGACAAAATGTTTCTATACTATATCAAATATCTCCTGTCAGGCAAAGTCGCCACAGTTGAGAGCCACTGAAATATGGTATATTCAAGTATTCTGTTTAGCCCTTGCGGCAGAAAACAGCATTCCTCTCTATGATCAGATGCTGATATTCCTAATAACATTTTTCTTAACTATCCAATAAATATGTGAACACATTCTTGTGATAAAGGATTCAAATAATTACTGAAGTTTACAGATCAAATTGGGAAAATTACCGCACCCCCCGCCTCCAACTTTGTCCCTATCCCTCCCTCTTTTTATTTGTAATTTTTATTTTTCGAGATAGGGTCTCACTCTGTAACCCAAGCTGGAGTGCAGTGGTGTGATCACGGCTCACTGCAGCCTCAACCTCCCAGGCTCCAGCATTCTCCCACCTCAGCCTCCCTAGTTAGCTGGGACTGTAAGTGGGCACCACCATGCTTGGCAGATTTTAAAAAAATCTTCTACAGAGACAGAGCTGGTCTCTAATCCACTGGTTCTCAAGGTGGCATTTCCTCCCAGGGAATAGTTGGCATCTTTGGTTCTTACAACTGGGGAGGGAGACGGTTCTACTAGCATTTTGTGGATAGCGACCATGGATGCTGCTAAACATTCTACACACAGAACCGCCTCTTGCAACAAAGACTTAAGTGGTCCAAAATGTCAATAGTGCTGAGGCTGAGAAACCCTAATCTATCCCCCACATCCTATCATAATCCCTAGTGATAGATTCACATTACAGATCTGAGCCTGCCCTAGTAGTTAGTATACACCTGTCAGATTCAAGGCTTCCCACCATCTTTTGAATAGCCTTCCCTTTTTCGGGAGGAAATTCCAATATTCTACGTCTTGCCTCCCCGAGGAAGGAGTTCAGACCCCAATTCCCAGTCTCCTTTGTAGCCAGGACCCAGGTGTGGGGCCCAGACTTCCTCAATCAGACATCCCTATGAGCTTTTGATGTGGAAGTGAGCAAGGTGAAGAAACAGGCTCTTTTGGAAGTTTGGCATTATGCAGGAGGCTGCAAAAGCATGTGGGATTTGATGTTAACAGTGGCAGTGGCAGCCATTCCCCAGTGAATCCCAGCAGTTGTGATGGCGATTTCCTCCAGCAGCAATCCCAGTCTTAGTATTTTCCTCATCAGGCCAGTTTTCAGCTTGGTTCTGAGCTTCATTCTTGGAAGCTTAGCCTGGGGCCACTTCTCCATCCTCCCTAGAATTCCCTGAGCTGTACAGCATCCTTTTAATACACACCTTTTCTGCTTAGTCAGCCAGAGTCAGCTTCTACTGCTGAAAATTAAGAACCCTGATAGTAAAGACTCCCTGCTAAAAACTGTCTAGCGGCTTCCCATACATTCTAGAATATGTCCCAAACCCTGTGCTTAGCCCAAGGCTCTTCTTTATCTGGGATGTACCTATGCTGTCCATCACTCTGGTCACACAGAGTCATCCTGGTCCTGGCACCATTCCTCACTGCTCACTACTAAAGAATCCTACGGGCATGGCAAACCTCCTCTATGTACCCTCTTAAAACCAAAATGTATTCAAACACCCATGCTAACATTCTTAAATATCTGCTAGCCATAATAAAAAAATCAATGTACTTTACAATCTTAACTCCCACAATTTAGCCTAAATATTTGCCCTAACATATTTATACTAGTTCAAACAAACATTAAGTCATAGCCTATTCCTCTTCCTTAAAGGGGTGTTGACCTTTCTCAACATTCCACAAGTTACTTCCTCCTTGCTTTGTTCTCCTCTGCCTTTGCCTCTTTTAAAAAGTTCTAAATTACTAGCCAATCAAGACAAATACAAAATATAAAGTCCCATTCCAGCCAATAAAAACCAGACACAGGCCAGGCGCGGTGGCTCACGCCTGTAATCCCAGCACTTTGGGAGGCCGAGGCGGGCGGATCAGGTCAGGAGATCGAGACCATCCTGGCTAACACGGTGAAACCCCATCTCCACTAAAATAATAATAAAATAATAATAATAATAATAATAATAATAATAATAATAATAATACAAAAATTAGCCAGGTGTGGTGGCGGGTGCCTGTAGTCCCAGCTACTCGGGAGGCTGAGGCAGGAGAATGGCGTGAACCCAGGAGGCGGAGCTTGCAGTGAGCCGAGATCACGCCACTGCACTCCAGCCTGGGCGACAGAGCGCGACTCCATCTCAAACAACAACAACAACAAAAAAAAACAAAAACAAACAAAAAACCAGACACAGCAGTAAAGTGGACACATCAGGTTATATATGACCCTGTCTCCTTTGTTCGGTGTACTCTCGTGACAAAACTGCTGGCGAGTATACCCTTTCTACAAAAAATAAAAATGGCCTTGCTAAAAAAATTAAATTTATATTCAAGTGCTATTTCTTTACAACATCAAAAAACAAACATTTCTAACAATCCCATTCCTCAGGTCTGTATTTATGTCTATCATAAAGCAGAGACTTTTTACACTCTACTGAAAGAGCTGATTCACTCAACTGTAAACTTTGCATGGGCAGAAACATGTCTTTTTGGTCTCTTGAGTCTCCAGCATGTGGGGTATCTGTCACAAAGTAGGCAATCAATACATATTTATTTGCAGAATCAAGGGCAGGATGTGGACAAGTGCTGCCACCTATTGGGAGAAACTTTATTTGACTCTAAGGATTTGGACTATGGTTATCACACAAGGACGAAACTTGATACTCTCTCTCATCTAAGTTATCATTAGTTAGACCCTCTATGGTAGCCAGCCTCCAGGATGGCCCGCAGCGATCCCTGTCTGTTGGCATTCATACCTTTGGCTGGATCCTCTCACACATAGGGTTGGTTTGTAAATATGACAAAAGCCGTATGTGACCTCTGGAGCTAGGTCATAAAAGACATTGTGGCTTATACCTTGGTCTCTCTGGGATCACCTGCTCTGAAGGAAGCCAGCTGCCATGTCATGGGGACACTCAAACAGCCCTATGGGGAGGTTCACGTGGTGAAAACAGGTCTCTGGCCAACAGTCATGACTGTGCCATCCTGGAGGCCGATCCTCCAGCCCTAGTCAATAACTGCTGCCCTGGCCTACAGTTTGTAATCTCATGGGAGACCTGGAGACAGAACCACCCAGCCACGCATCCCCAAATCCCTTTACCTCTAAAACCTGTGGGACAACAAATGTTTATTGCGTTAAACTTTGGGGTGATTGTTATGCAGCCACAGAGTTCTAATAAACTGTCGGACATAGATTACTGGCTACAAATAGTTCTACTTTTTTTTTGAGACAGGGTCTCGTTCTGTGGAACCAGGCTGAGGTGCAGTGGTGCGATCACAGCTCATTGAGGCCTCGACCTCCGGGCTCAATCGACCCTCCCGCCTCAGCCACCCAACTAGCTGGGACTACAGGCAGGCGCCACCACACCTAATTTTTTGTATTTTTTGTAGAGATGGGGGGGGGGGTTTCACCATGTTGCCCAGGCTGGTCTCGAACTCCTGGGCTCAAACGATCCACCCGCCTCGGCCTCCCAAAGTGCTGGGATTACAGGCGTGAGCCACCGCGCCCGGCCAACCTAAGGATTAACCTAAGGCTTCTCAGAGCAGATGCCGCTGGAACTGAGGGCCACGGAAGAAAGGGGGTGACACTTGGTCCTGGGGAGTGGCGACTGTATTGTCTGTCTGCAGCATCCCTATCAGCGCTACCGTTGTTCCACGCACACAGGGAGTAAGTACTGGGAGTCCCAGCCACCGCCGCGGAAAATCTGGGATGCCAGCGAGCGGCCGCATCTCGGCGCCTGCGCACTGTGCCCGCGCTCTCAGGCAGCGCCGTTGCGCGCGGAGTCATCGATCGGCCGACCCCGAGAGGCCCGGTTCCTTTAGGCCGCCTGCCCGCCTCCAGCTCTCGGGGTCGGCTCCAGGAGGCGCCCTCAGGAGAGGGGCGGGCGCTCTATTCCAGAGACCGAGTGGCAGGGCGGCCACTGTGGCGGGGCTCTTTCCCCGTTTCGCCTCAGCTACCCCTCAGCTCCGGTAGTCGCCAGTCCGGGGTCGTCGCCGTTTGGGGCGGGAGCTGCTCGGCCCCGCCGCCGTCCCCGTCGCCGCTTCCGGGTCCAGGCCCCTCGGGCCGCCTGCCGCCGTCATGAGGCTGCGGGTGCGGCTTCTGAAGCGGACCTGGCCGCTGGAGGTGCCCGAGACGGAGCCGACGCTGGGGCATTTGCGCTCGCACCTGAGGCAGTCCCTGCTGTGCACCTGGGGGTACAGGTACGCTGGGGCCGGGGCTGGGCGGCCCGCGGGGAGTGGGGAGTGCTTGGGGTGGGTGCAGGGCGGGTTGGCGTCATCTGTGGGCTGCAGGCGCGGGCGTGGCCGGGCGATAGGCCAAGTGCGGGGACGCCGGGGGGGCCTTCACGGGAGGCCCGGGCTCTTCCGGGCGTCGCGGAGCCGGAGGGTGCAGGCGACGGGAAGCGCGGGTGGTCGGCTGGGGTCCGGCTCCTGGAGAACATGGCCCGGCCTCCCGGGGGCTCTGGTCCCCTCCTCGGTGAGTCATGGCTTCTGGTTTTGCAGTAAACGGAACCAGGGAGAGGAGGGAACGCACAATTTCCACAACTGGTTAGATTTCAAGTTGGAAATGATGAGCTTGGCTTGGGTTAAACCTTTCTGGACTGTGAGGGGTCCGAGTTAATTTCTTCAGCTGTTGGAGTATTTCAATGAAAAAGTTTGGAAATTGCTAGAAGTTAAAAATCTGCCCTCAATCCGAGGCCACCGGTAGCTTGTATCGCTGCTGTGAAGCGGCAACAATTTTAGATTCTGTTGTGTTCATGCGCCGAGCACCGCGGTGAGCGCTTGGACTTCGCCGCCGAAAAGTTTTAGAAAGGACAGCGTGTAGGCGTGTTTCAGACCATTTCATTTTCTTGGGTGAAATGTTGCTTTTTTGCTAAAACTGAGGCAAACGTTGATCTTGAGAGCTTGCAGTTTGGGGGCAGTAAAGTTGAGAAAGGATCATATTCTGTTATTGGTTTGTGGGACTGCAGGTGAAGCTGCTTTGTTTCCCTAAAAGATACTTTTTGGGGACAATAATTTGGGAGTAAAGCGGCAAGGTAAGAGTGGTCCTCTTCAAATACTGAGCTAGTGAATTTGAAACTTGAGTGTGCTAAGGAAAAATGAAAAAGATGTTCCCTGGGGATTTTTAGGTGAATTCTTCAAAACAAAAGCAAACCTTCCTACGTTTTCACCTTATTTTTAGGGAATTGGGTAAAATGAGGCCGTTATTCTGAACTTCTCGCCCTTTCATTTTCCTGGTTAAGACATTATTAGATTGAAAGTAAGCCTGTTTTCTTCCTGATTAAAAAAAAAACCCTAAATAAGATACTGACATAACTCCTTTTAAACATTATAGTAAGTGACATGCCTACTGTTATTTCTTGTTGTTAAACCTGTGTGTTTTACATACTGGCATCGTTACCAGTAGGTTACGAGTAGAAGATTGAATAAATCTTCAAACTTATTTTTTAAAGGTATTACCAAGTATATATATATTTTATTATTTTTAAATTAGGCAGTCTTGAAAGGACGTGAAACTCAATATGACTGCCCAAAAGGGCACGTTGGTTTCTCTTTCAGATTTCTTTTTACAGTTGAGGCTGGTTACCTGGACAGAATTTAAGCTTCAGCTTGTGAAAGTAAACTCATTTTTTCTGAAAGTATACTCATTTTCTAATAAAGGTGCAGTTTTAAAATATGTCCATGTGATATTATTTTAAAAATATCTTTACTGAGCAAGTGGAGCTAGGATTGTCATGAAATGCTTTTATTTGTTTTGTTTTTGTTTTTTAAGAGAAAAGTGAAAGCAAGTTTATTAAGAAAGTAAAGGAATAAAAGAATGGCTACTCCATAGGCAGAGCTGCCATGAAATACTTCTAAGAAGGCTGGAGTTTCTAGAATTTCATTTCCTGGAATTAAATACTCCTCTTAACGCCCCAATTTCAGAGGTAGAATCCTGGAAAACTATATATTACTTTAGAAATAGCTTTTCCCTTTTTCTAAAGTGGGAGGAAGAGCTGGTATATTTATTAAGCGGACCATGACCTTTTCTGCAAACAGATACTTGAACGTACCTTGTACTAGATACTGTTTTAAAAAGCAACCTTTTGCTGTGACAAATGACCCATAAACACATAGTTCATTTGAGGTGTTTTTGCTTTTTCTGCCAAAGTTGGGGTGGTGTTTTTGTGGGCAAATGGCAGATTTTCAACGTTTTGTTTATCAAAGCATTTTGAAAAGAGAAGCAGGGCCACTTGTTTTCTAGCAAACAGGAATAGCTTCTATTTCAGTAATTTTAATTTCTCTACCAAGGACACTTCAATCAGTAAGAAAAAATATATTTACGAGTGAAATAAAAACAAGAATTATTTGGAGCACTTTTCAAAATGCAGCATTGTAAGAATAAGTAAACAATATAATTTTTAAAGGACTTCATCTTTTGTTAACCTCTCAAAAAAGTAATGAAATTAGCATTGCTGAGTGTAAATGTTTTTAAAAATGTTTTATAATGTTTTGTTATTGTTCCTCACCACTGTGTGATGAAAAACATTTTATTCTTCTAATGTCAAATAATCTGTGATGCAGAAAGAATGGGAGTTTGTTGCTTCCGGGCTTATTTGAATTCTGAGCTTGTTTAACGTGGGCTTTTGGGTTTGCGCTATGTTCCACTAAAAGGCATCATAACTGATGATCAGTAGAAGGGTGAATTTAGCTTGTCATCATCAGTAAGAGAGATGAATTTATACTCAGTCATATACATAATACTCCTCTAACTTTTTGTGATTATGAATATATGGATCTGGTTTTTCGGAACCATTATAAGTAAACTGTCCTGTAAGGATATTGAATAGACATCCTTGATTTCACGCTCATCTCTTGATCTTCCCAACTAGTGTTTGGTGGTTGCATTTATTTCACAAGTACTTTATTTGCCAGTGTTGAAGATATGGTTTGAACTGTTCAGACAAGATCGCTGATCTTATGAAACTTAAGTTGTAGTGGCAGAGGTAGGGTAGACAGATCATAGACAAGTAAATACGATGTTTTCAAGTAGAACATAACAGAATAGAGAGCGCTGGAGTCTGAATGAAAGGCATCTCTGAAGAGGTGACATTTGGGCTGAGACTGGAATGATGAAGAGGAGTCAGTCATTTGAAGATCTGGAAGAACAAACGGAGAGGCCCGAAGGCTGCAATGAAGTTGATCTGCTTTTTGGAACGGATGGAAAGCTCATGTGAATAGAGAACAGTGAGAGAGGATGGATGGCACAGGATGCAGTAGGAGAAATGGGAAGAGGTCAGACGTTGAGCTTTGGAAGTTAGGTTAAGGATTCCAAATAGAAGCTATTGGAAGATTTTAAGTGAAGGAATGATGTGATCTAATTTGTATTTTAAAGGTATTTCACTGAATCTTAGTTGCTGTCACTTGTAAGACATATTGTTTTATGTAACAGCAGGGGAAAATGCTGTCAATTGATATGTCATTGATTTTAGGAAGTATCTTAATTTCAAAGATGTCAAAAAAAATTTGTGCATCTTAGAATTGAGGAAAGCATGGATTAGTGATAGAGGATTACTGTATCCCGTCCCCCAGGTGGAGAGTTTTAGCCATTAGAAATCTATAGATTAGGCATTCATTGATAAATACTTTTGATAATTTTCTCAAAACTATAAGCTTGATAGGGTAATGCGTGCCTATAGTCCTAGCTCCTCTGGAGGCTGAGGTGAGAGGATTGCTTGAGCCCAGGAATTTGAGGCTGCCATGAGCTGTGATTGTGCCACTTCACTCCAGCCTGGGCAACAGAGTGAGACTCTGTCTCTAAAAACAAACGAAAACAAAAACAAAAATGTAGCTGGACATGGTGGCTTATACCTGTAATCCCAGCAACCCAGGAGGCTGAGGCAGGAGGATTGCTTGAGGCCAGGAGCTTGAGACCAGCCTGGACAACATAGTGAGACCTTGTCTCTTCATCACTTAGTTCTTCTAGGGTCATACTGTGTACTTATGTATGCTTCAGATGTGCTATTGAAGGTATTAGAAGTAGGTAGTTCTTACTATGCTTATCTGTCTTTCTTGGCAGTTCTAATACCCGATTTACAATTACATTGAACTACAAGGATCCCCTCACTGGAGATGAAGAGACCTTGGCTTCATATGGGATTGTTTCTGGGGACTTGATATGTTTGATTCTTCAAGATGACATTCCAGCGCCTAATATACCTTCATCCACAGATTCAGAGCATTCTTCACTCCAGAATAATGAGCAACCCTCTTTGGCCACCAGCTCCAATCAGACTAGCATGCAGGATGAACAACCAAGTGATTCATTCCAAGGACAGGCAGCCCAGTCTGGTGTTTGGAATGACGACAGTATGGTGGGTATTAAACACCAATATATCAAATAGAGTAGGTGATAAGTCATATTGAACACCTCAGTTGAATTCTGTTCCAGTCAGGATAATTATCATCGATAGATTGCACATTTTATATATATTTTTTTCTTTTTTTTTTTTTTTGAGACAGAGTCTCACTCTGTCACCAGGCTGGAGTGCAGTGGCGCAATCTCTGCTCACTGCAACCTCTGCCTCCCAGTTCAAGCGATTCTCCTGCCTCAGCCTCCCGAGTAGCTGGGACTAGAGGTGCACACCACCACGCCCAGCTAATTTTTGTATTTTTAGTAGAGACGGGGTTTCAGCATGTTGGTCAGGATGGTCTCGATCTCTTGACCTCGTGATCTGCCCTCCTCGGCCTCCCAAAGTGCTGGGATTACAGGCATGAGCCACTGCGCCTGGCTGCAGATTATATTTTTATAGAATATATTTTTTTTAACTGCCAAATGCCTGTACCAATATGGGGCTGGCATCCCAAAGTACCTAGTGTCTGTCTGTTTTGTTCACATACTCTCCTTCAGATCAGTTATTCCTTGACTTCTATTATTGTTCCTAAGCTCATGATTCCTAGCCTTGCTTCTCTGATCTGGTCCGCTCATTAAGGCTATAGATGTGGTCTAATTATTTCCAGATGACTTGCAGGATATTTATACCTGGATTTTAAATTGTCATTGCAGACTTTAGATGTTGAACATAAATTTGGAAATATGTGTGCTCAGTTCCCTTCTTTGTCAGTGGCACTGCTGGTTTTCTGTGATTTTTGACTCCTTAAATCTAGCCCATTAATAAGCTTTGTCAGTTCTTCTTTTCCATTTCGGGTTCCATGGCTTTATTCCTCAGTCTGTTTTCTGGATTTGCCTTCTTCCTACATGGTTCTGATGCTATTGTTCCCTTGCTGTCTTTCATAACTCTATCTCATAAACTTGTGCTCATAATTTTTGAGCTGAAAAAGACAATATATCTCTAGTTCAACCCTGTCATTTTACAGAAGAGGAAAATGGTGTCTGTCCTCCTGTACCTAGTGCTCAAGGCTTTCTGAAAAGTTACTCCACTCAACTTTTTTAGGGCTAGTTTCTGTTCTTCCTTCCTTTAAACTGTCATCTCCAATCAGAACAGACCCATCATTTTCCCCCGCCCCCACCAACCAGCACATTCACCTGCTTGCATGCATGTGCACACACACAACCTGGTGACTACTTTTGTGACTTTGCTCTTGCTGTTCACCCAGACTGGAACCTGTTACCTTTCCTCCCTCTCTAGTCTATATTTCTACCCATCTTCCTAAGCCCTTGCCAACCATAGCCCAATAGTTTTCTTTAATTTCTTTGTATTGATTATCTGATTATCTTTATTGCCTTGTACATGCCTCCTCATTTTTCCCACCTTTTTTTTTTTTGGTGACAGGATCCCACTCCCTCACCCAGGCTGGAGTGCAGTGGCACAATCTCAGCTCACTGCAACCCTACCCTTCCGGGGTCAAGCGATTCTCCCACCTCAGCCTCCCGAGTAGTTGGGACCACAGACACCACCACGCCTGGCTAATTTTTGTATTTTTGGTAGAGATGGGGTTTCACCATGTTGCTCAGGCTGGTCTTGAACTCCTGACCTCAAGTGACCTGCCCACCTTGGCCACCCAAAGTAATGGGATTACAGATGTGAGCCACCGTGCCTGGCCTTTATCCGCCCTTTTAATTTTTTGAATGGTGCAAATGATCACCTTTATTTTTTTAATACCAATACACATGCCTTCTTGTTAATTGGTTTTTGTATGTATGCTTATCACCTCAATTTAATTGCTGGCCTTAAACATTTTTGAGTATAAGTATTCATGGTAACTTGTCATGGCATTAAGTATAGACATATTAAAAAATACTTTTTAATAGATTGGTAAATTGTGAAAATTATGTCCAGATATGTGGATTTTAATTTATTTTTAAAGTTATTGTTTTATCTGTGTGTTTCTGCCTCATAGAGGTAAACTGGGGAATGAGTAAGAATATTTCGCTGTATATTTAAATTATATTTCTGAGTCTTTTTTGCTGATAGACTTGTTCTGGGATGACTTAGTAGGGGCCATTACTTTTACTTCTGTGTACTTTTAAAGTTGTCTAGTAAGATGAAGCTTTTCACAGTATTTGTGATAGTTTGCTAGTTTCCTTTTGGAAAATTTTGAGAAATTAATGTTGCCTGAAGTTACTAATTTCAGTTCTAAGATTTTGCATATTGTTTTGTATTCCAAGACTTGTAAAGGGTGACAGGAAAATCTTTAGAGTATGGAAACTGAGCTCAAGATCTCATAAATAATGCTTTCAAGTACATCACACTCTGTAATGTAGAATGGAGCATTAGAAAAGGAAAATAGATGCGTAAAACTTGAAACCATAGGAGGTAAATTTACTCTTGTAATTAAATATCAGTTTTCTTATTTCATCATATTTGGGAATTCATCGAGTGCCTCTTGAGTCTTTAATGAGAAACGGGTAGCAGGTATCAGAACCTAATATTAGCTCTCATGCATCTTAGTCACTTGTTTTAGTCTTTTGTAAATGACATATGGCAAAATGATCTGTTTAGAGAGGTGTGGTGCTCACCTTTTTTTTTTCATTTTTACACATGTGAAGAATTTGATAAATATTCATATCAGAATAGCTCAGAGAATGTCAGTGGTTCTTATGGAGTAGTAGTAAGGCTTGACAAGCCCAGCAGGGGATTTTGATATCTCCCTCTCATGTACTCAGCCTAGGGTACCCTTTTTCATTTTTCCTCATATATTCTGTCCCACACAACTGCCAATAAGTAGTAAATGGCCAAAAGTTAGACATAGTGGTAAAGAAGCAAAACCTATGTTTCATAGTTTAGCTTGATGTTAAGTGGTTTTTAATGTAGTTGTTTCTGTTTTCTTAGGAAATATGGAAATATTTTTGTGCCATACCTCCTTTTTGGGTAATGTGACTTGTCATTGGCCTTTAGGTTTTAACAGGTGACTTTGGATCTTTTCCATAAGCCCTAGGGCTTAGGTCCTCAGAGATTTTGGAAGAACAGCTGTCACCTCCGGCTCCCCTCCATTTCTCCAACCTTTTACATATACTGTGTAATTTTAATTTCCTTTGCCCCTTCTTTAAACAAACCCTAAAAAGACGAAACGTATGCTTTGCATTAAGAGTTGGGCATATGCCTAGGAAACAAGCTTTCTGAGCAAACTTAATATAGGTAACTTAGTTTTTTTTGAAGCCATGTATTACATCTCAAAGCCCTGAACTGCAAGTTTAGAGATCTGGGTTCGTTTCAAATTTTTATTAGCTGGTAACCTTGATTATGTTATTTAATCTTTCTGATTTATAATTATAGGATCTATAAAAAGGCGATACCTGCCATGCCTATTTTATAGGATTGTTATAAAGTGCAAATAAGAAAACATTTTGAAAATAAAGACATTATGAAGTTGTAAGGTATTATCCTTCAGCATTTGTTCAGCAAACATTGAATACCTGCTATGTGCTAGGTACTTTACTGGGGTTACAAAAATGGGTGACATGTAGTCTGGTTTTTTATAAACTTGCAGTCATGGAAGGATGCAGATATGTAATCAGAAAATTGCAATACAGTGCAGTGTGATAAGGTGCAGTAATCAAGCCCGTTGCAAGGCAGAGTTGTGGTCTGTGTTACCTCTTTTGAAGAAGTGGAAAATACTGGGATGAGTAAGAAGGCACTGGCAGAAAGTGAACTTGATAATGAGTCAGAGATCAGGTAATGAAGGACTTTGTATGCTAAGGGATTTAGAAGTTTGGTCTTCATTTGTAGACCTGCATTTCTCAGTGTCCTCTGAAAATCTAGTTTCATGAGATGGTGTCACAGGGATGTTGACTGCTGAGGACGGAGGATAGTGTTTTTTGGTAAAGTGTTAGGCACACACTATTATTGTTATTAGACTCCTCAGTGCTTATATAATGCGAATAGTGTATTTTGTGAATATGGAGGGTGAAGTTAGGTGGCTGCAGCATGCAGTATTTTCCACACTTATTCCGTGTGCACCACCTTTTTTCCTAAGAACATCTAAGGCACAATTGAGGGAAATGCTGTTTATGTTGGGGAGGTACTGGTGAATTTTAAGCTGCGACATAGTACATGATCAGATTTTTAATTGTCAAGAAAATTCTGGCAGCAGGGACTGGGGTGTATTGGAAGACAAGAAAGTTGAAGAAGGGATACTTGCAACGGAAGCTCTTGCTGGATGTCGGGAAATAAATGATGAGAGTTTGAAGTGCCAATAGAGCAGGAAGGGGCAAATTTTAGACATATTTAGGAGTTAGTTTCAGGGAACTTTGAAGACTGATCAGATGTGGAACAAGGTTTAGTTAGGGAGGGAGGAGTCTAGGATGATTTCCAGGTTCTTGACATACCAGCTAGAATTAACAGAGGTAAGGAATTCAGGATGGAAGAGTAGGTCGCAGGCTTATTTATTTGTAAGGACTCACTTAAAATGTCTCCCATTTCTGAACCCAATGATGTACTTTGACTTTCAGCACTTAGTTCACTTTAGGATACAAAAATGTATAGTGTAAAAATAAGTCTTTAATTAATTCATTGTTTTGTTTTCCTTTTTCAGTTAGGGCCTAGTCAAAATTTTGAAGCTGAGTCAATTCAAGATAATGCGCATATGGCAGAGGGCACAGGTTTCTATCCCTCAGAACCCATGCTCTGTAGTGAATCGGTGGAAGGGCAAGTGCCACATTCATTAGAGACCTTGTATCAATCAGCTGACTGTTCTGATGCCAATGATGCCTTGATAGTGTTGATACATCTTCTCATGTTGGAGTCAGGTTACATACCTCAGGTAAGTACTGCAAGCAAAACACAGACATCTTATGATTGCTCATACATGTGGATGGTTCCTGCTCTCAAGTTGCCCGTAGTCTGAGAGTGGCAGAGAGAGACAAAAATATAAAGCACTGTGCTATATTGGTGAAGTTCTGGGAGAAACATACTCATATATAGGATGCCAGGAATTCATGGAGGAGAACATTTAGAATATTGCTTCTCAAACTTTAATGCGCTTTGGAATACCTGGGGACCTTATTAAAATGCAGATTCTGATTTAGTAACTGTAGAATGGACCGTGAACTTCTTCATACTCCTGCATAATACCAATGTTGCTGGTCTGTGAGCCATGTTATAAGTTACAAAGATACAGAGTAGTTCGGTGATCAGTGCACACCTGCAGCATGCCATGCACTGACCTAGAAATTAGGATATAAAAATATTGGGATATTTCTTGTCTTCAAGGAGTCCATACATAGAGGAGAGAGATGAATAAAAAGATACTCAGAAATAACACAGGTAAACATAGATAATAATACAATTGAAGTGTAATGGAAATATGAATAGAATGCTAGGGGATGAAAGGAAATGGCAAACAATTTTTCTTTGAAAAAGGCTTTACGGAGGAAGTGATATTTGAGCCGGAGTTTTAAATAATCATATGGCTTTGCTAGGAGAGAAGTGAGTCTTTGAAGAGAGAGATCAATCCCTGTTTCCATGATGCAGTTTTACCTATTTGAACAAAAATTTTGATTAAAAGTGTTCTAATATATTATCTTATACAATATGGTTATCCTACAATATAAAATATATTGGCAATGTTAATGATTTGATGCATTTTATTAAGAGGACTGTGTGGAGTGATTATTTCAAACAAGTTAGGAGTCTTTTGGATTTTTAATCTTTTTGAGAGTAACACCTTTCTTCATTATTTGTTTCCCTTTCATTTCGTTCCCCAGGGCACCGAAGCCAAAGCACTGTCCATGCCGGAGAAGTGGAAGTTGAGCGGGGTGTATAAGCTGCAGTACATGCATCCTCTCTGCGAGGGCAGCTCCGCTACTCTCACCTGTGTGCCTTTGGGAAACCTGATTGTTGTAAATGGTAATTGGATAGCATAGTCATGGTTGCTGGTTTATGGATTCTTAGACGTTTCTTTCCAAATGTTTTATAGCCACTTCAGTGATTGGCTATCATGATACAGTTGTGAGTCCTTCTCAACTGTATTTAATTCCTAGGCCACTGATAACATGTGTCTGGAAGATCATGGAATATGAGGTTGTTGAGTTGTTTAGGCCAGCACCCTTCATTCTTAGGGCATCCATTTTTTTGATGTCTTAATCTTTGTAATATTTTGCTCTGGGGGATAATATTTAATATTATCCAATATTATCAGTATTTGATAATAGGAGTGAAATGAGCCTATTACACATGAACTCCTTGGAGAATACTTTTTCTTTATGCCTGTGGATGGCTTTATTTTTTTAACGAAGGTCTTGAACTGAGACATGGGGAGCTAGACCTGGGGTCACCATTTATCCAAGTTGGCATCCCTGTGACCAGCAATGCACAACAACAATGCTAAGTTTACTGGGGCCTTAGTAAGTATGTGTTTTATTTGCTGGGCCTCCCCCAACAAATGTCACTCTGTATGAATAACTTTTCCTGTTTATTTTTCATATTAAGAAATTTCACTGGAATAGCAATGCATTCCATCTCTGTGTTTTAGTTCAGGTACCACTTTGTTTCATATCAACTCCTAGTGTTCTGTCATAATCACACATACTGGAGATCCATTTGAATGACTAGGAGCTTTCATTTTTGTTCTGTTTTGTTTTTTGAGATTTATCCTTTTAGTTAGAAAGATAGCGTGGTAAGATTGGGAGGGCTGCGTTTGTTGTTTTTTTATTCAGTATAGCTCATCTTTTTCGTTTAGCAAAGGCAGTTGCTTTGGTAAGCCTTAGGTCAAAGGTTTAGGTCAGAGGTTTTCAGTATGTTCTGTAGCTACTCCTTTCTGCTGAGATGAAAGTTAGGTAGAAGCCCTATCACCACTTAAACCTTGAGCAGCAAAATGTTTATCTGTTTCATTTATTGAAGTTCTGTGTAAGATTCTGTTTGAAAAAATGTTGGTTTTTTTTTTTCCTGCTAAAATCTATTTTGAAAGCTACTGACTCATGCCATCTTGATCTTTGACATGTTGGATAGTTCTCATTCCCCTCTTACAAAGTTTCTTTTTTCTTTTTTTTGAGACAGGGTCTTGCTCTGTCGCCCAGGCTGGAGTGCAGTAGGCAGAGCATGGATCATTGCATCCTTGACCTCCTAGGCTCAAGCAGTCTTCCTCCTTGGCCTCCTGAGTAGCTAGGACCACAGGCGTGTACCACCACACCTGGCTATTTTTTATTTTATTTTTTGTAGAGATGAAGTGTCACTGTGTTGCCCAGGCTGGTCTCAAACTCCTGGGTTTGAAGCAATATTCCTGCCTTGACTTCCCAAAGTGCTGGGATTACAGGTGTGAACCATGCCTGGCCTCTTACGAAATTTCTATTTCTTTAGTCATAAGATTCTTTGAAATGTTATTTAAAAGTCTCAAAACTAGGTTTAATAGCTTTGGTGGTACTTCACATTTGTCAGGACATGACTGTCTGATGACACTAGGACCTAGCAATGTCTATTCAGCAGTTCATCATAATTAGCAAATGTAGCTTTTACTTTGGCATTCTTGTACACAGAGTGTCAACAGTTTCTGCCTTCATCTAATCATTCTGCTACATCACATCATAACTTGCAAGGTTGGAGTTACCAAATAGTAAATGTGTAGTTGCAAATTTTGCCTTGATTTTTTATAAAAGCACTTAATGACGTGTATAATAACCTCTATTCACTAGATTCAGGATACTTAATATAAAAAGAATAACTGCTGAATGTCTTGATGATTTCCTAATTTCTGATGTTTTGTTTCTTTACTGTTCTTGGCAAATCAGCTCTTGGCAGACTTGCATGGCAGCCAGCCGTTCCAGGATTGATTCTTTGAAAAGGAGCAGTGTGTCTTTAAATCTTTCCTTCACCCAAGGCATCCTGCTTGGTGCACATGTGCATAAGCACATCACTGGGCTCTTTCATGGAATGAGATGAAGTGCGCCTTTGTATACATGATTAAAATTGAACCCTCTGGTGATGTCAAGTATATTTATCCTTTGGGTCTGGAAGAGAGATGATGCTGTGAAAACTAGCAAGATTATTTTAATGAACAAAGGAAGACTCATTGCCAAGGGTTAAATAAAAAATAAATGGAGTTTTTAGTGACTTCATTAGAAATAATGATTTTATTGTGTTTAGTTGCCTCTGATTAACCTTGTTGCATATCTTTAAGTTACTAATAAGCTGCTGCCTAGTGGATTTTATATAAAGATGCTTACTGTAGTTTTTAAAGGTGGTGTTGTAGAGTGATTTTACTTCATGTGATGCCAGGTTTACACTTTTGAACTTGCTATCAGAGAAAGAAATAGGCGAAGAACAGTTTGTTTTGTATAATGTGTCCTTAGTATATTAGGAGCTAGGAAATGCAAGCCCATACTAAAAAAGAAAGGCAGTTGATGAAGTGACAGAATTCTTTATCATCTTTCTTTTGTTTATTTACAGCTACACTAAAAATCAACAATGAGATTAGAAGTGTGAAAAGATTGCAGCTGCTACCAGAATCTTTTATTTGCAAAGAGAAACTAGGTAATACAAACATTATTTAACTTTTGGGGTGAAACTCTGTGAAATTCATATAAGAAAAAAATCTGAAAGATAATGTTCAAAAGACTGAAAATTTCTATATGAGATTAAAGCATATTGAAGACAATGTGGTTTGTTTAAGAATGCAAAGGTTTAAAAAATGTGAAAGTTTTGCTTATAATTTGAGGAGTTTGTTTCTTTCCTGTTTTTCTTAGGGTCATAGTGTGCTGAATTATATTGTTATGAGATAACACTAGTATGTAATTTATTACACTCTGATGATAGTTCATAGTTTCTGTACTAATCTTTGGAGATCTCCCTATTGAGATCTCCATATTGGTATTTAACCAATATGGAGGGGATCTGTGTTTCATGAAAGTAATTCAATGTCAAGTTCATTATTGAAGATTATTGGAGGAAAAACTACAATCAAAATGTTTGTTTAAACCTATATAAATTTGATGGCTATTTTATACAGATTGATACTTTACCAAAGGTTTGCATTCTAGGTAAGGTTTTGCTTAAACTCTATAAAATTATTAATAGATACAAAGAAGACAGGTTTTCCCTTTTATCATTTTTCAGTTAAACCAAACTGTGAGAGGCAGTTATAGGTGGTTGGAGCAGAAGAGATAAGGTGGAGAGGGGAACTGACATTTTTTAAGTGCCTGTTTCATTCTGTACTTGTGCCTGTACATATGTTATTCCATTTAATCTTCTTAGTAAACTTAGGAGGGTTTTAAGAGCCTAGTGGGAATGTTGTGGTACAATGGGAAGATGGCATTTATAGCAGTCCTTTAGGAAAGGCTGGCTAGATTGACATTGTTGCTTTGAAGGCCTAAAGGCTTATTCTTGTTCATTCCTAGGGGAGATCAGCCCTGAGAGATTGACTTATACTAACTAAAACTGACAGGAAAAGGAGATAGCAGAATACATATTTATAACGGTCTCTGATTGGATGTAGAGTCAGAAATTGGGAATTAGCTGAATTGAATTTTTTTTTTGAGACGGAGTCTTGCTCTTTCGCCAGGCTGGAGTGCCGTGGCGCTATCTCGGCTCACTTCAACTTCCACCTCCTGGGTTCAAGCAATTCTTCTGCCTCAGCCTCCTGAGTAGATGGACTACAGGCGCACACCACCACGCCCAGCCAATTTTTTTTTATTTTTAGTAGAGACAGGGTATCACCATATTGGCCAGGCTGGTCTCGAACTCCTGACCTTGTGATCTGCCCGCCTCGGCCTCCCAAAGTGCTGGGATTACAGGCATGAGCCACTGCGCCCGACCGAGTTGAACATTTAATGTCAGACTAGGCCAGAGTTTCTCAATCTTTTTATTCTCACTTCCCAAAGGAGCCGTTGGAGATTTTCCCCTCAATCTCTCTCCTTCATGAAATTTCATACCACAAATATAGTATGTTTTATTTATGTACTGTGACCCTTTGAAGGATCACAAACCAATATAATAGTTTTTCTTTTTAACCCGTCAAGGACCAGTTTTTGCCCCTGTTGGAAATGCATAAACTGGACTGATGAATTGGTATAGATGGCTTTTATCATGAGGATCAGAAAAACTTGAAATTCCTTGGCTACGACACTCCATATTTATCACCGTATAGGGAGGACCTTGTTATGGGGAGTAGAAACACTCTACACTTTACAGCAGTAGAGGTTTTATGCCCATTTTATAGATCAGGAAACAGATCTAGAGGAGGCTCACTTACTTAAGGGTCACAGAGCCAATAAATGGTGAAATACAGGATAGGAATAGATTTGGCTGACTCCCAGCCTTTTAAAACAACTTTTACAGGAATGTAGCTCAGATTGTTATTCTTTATCTGGTTTCTCTTAAATAAAGAAAAATGAAATGGAAGGGAGGAGGAACATTAAATACTGTTAAATTACAAGTTTATGGACTGTTATAATGAAGTATTTTTAATAAAGTCTTATGTTGAGTAGGAATATGCTGCTCATTTGGCAAGTCATTTTAATGAATTTTTACTGTGGTTCATAGCACCTAGTAACTATAACTAGGCACTGTTATTTATCCTTTTATTTATAAGTTCCTAATTAAATAGTTACATACCAGGTTGCTGAAGGAAAACATTCATTTAAAGAAAATCAATTTTCACATTTGAAAAAAGCCCTTGAGCCAAATTGATTTTAAAGAATGATATCTTGACAGCAAATTTCAACTCAAGATTGCAAGTCACACAACAAAGATTTAGACATTAGCTGCATATCTCTTTCCTTCTTCTTATCGATCCTGTTATACTGAGTGTTTTATTTGTTATAGATAGTGAAATACATAAATATGAAATGGGGAAGGAGCAAGCATAAATTGCCTACTGATACCCTAGGCACTGCTCGTGGAGCTTTCAATTATAACAACGCTTATCTGGTGTAGTGGTGGTGTCTCCTTTAAACAGTTGAGCAAAAAGGTGAGGATCAGAGGGGCAGGTTATTTGTCCAAGGCTATACACTTGGTAAATAGCAAAACAAGTGGGAACCTCGGCTGCAGTTTGCTAGTGCGTCCGTACTTTACTATGAGTCACCTGGGGATCTTATTAAAATATAGGTTCTGATTTGGTAGGTCTGTGGGGGCCTGAGATTCAGTAGTTCTAAACAGTTCCAGGTATTGTCAGTTCTGGTGATCTGTCGCCCACATGTTGAGTAGCAGTGTGGTGACTAAAAATGAGTGCTTTTGAGCCACACGGACTTGGGTTTGTGCACTGTTCTGCCACTAACCATGGGGCCTTGGACAGGCTTTCTGTACCTTGACCTGTTTTTAAAATGGAGATAGTAATTAGGAAAGAACTTCTGATGTGAAAGCTTGAAAAACGCTTGACACAGGTGCTGATACATAGTCATCATGCGATAAATGCTATTAATTTACCAGGTTCTAAGCGTTAACAGGAGCAGTTCTCCACTGTATCCTTAGTGCCCAGAACAGATTGATAGCTATCAGGAAATCTTCGTATGTATGAATCTCTCACAAGTCTTTTCTACAACTGCAGCCTATGAGCTAGAGAGGTTGGGCACAGCTCTACTAATTTGATATCATGGAATTTTTAGCTTTTATATCTAAGATTCAGTTTCATCAAGTCTTGCACTGTACTTCTTCCATGAGGGAATTTGGTTCATGCTTATCTTTGTGAATTATTTGTGAATATTTATTCACCATGTTGATTGGGTTTGGCAGAAATAGAGGACAGTTTTTTCACTTGATTTTGGGTTTTGATTTTACTTTAAAAAATATTCTAGGGGAAAATGTAGCCAACATATACAAAGATCTTCAGAAACTCTCTCGCCTCTTTAAAGACCAGCTGGTGTATCCTCTTCTGGCTTTTACCCGACAAGGTAAGAGATGAAATACTGTCACAATTTAAATGACTGTAAAGAATAGTAAGTATACTTAATATTCTTGGTGAGTATGACATCTGACTGCCCTCTTTTCTGCTCCTGGCGAAATGTTCCTCTTCTAAGACTAAGCTTAATATTCCTTAAGTGCTATTTACTTTATCTTTGTATCTCCATGCCATTTTGTACATATTTTTATTGTAGTCTCTTTTCCATGGACTATAATTGTTGATATGATTTCTTTCCACCTAAGGTTGGGAATACCTTGAAGGTAGGGAATATATCTTACTTTTGTATTCTTGTGGTCTAGCATGAGGTCAGGTACATAATAGATGCTCTTTCTCTCTGTGTAGATACATATATATATGTCTATATAGACATATATTTAGATATATATGTCTATATAGACATATATTTAGATATATATGTCTATATAGACATATATAAATAATACATGGTCTGTAATTGGATCTAAGTTTTTTTTTTTAAACCATTTATTGGAGGCTCTTTGCAGGCACTTAGTTGGATATTTCACATGCATTCTTATTTACTGCTAATGACTTCGAAGTAAATTATGTGGTACTTATTTTATAGATGATGAAATCATAATTCAATAAGGTTTATAATTCACTCGAGATCCTTATATTAGCTTCTCATTTTTTTGCAGTTAAAAAAATTAAAATCTCAGTGTCTTACAGTGAAATTTACTTCTCACTCGTGTACATGTTGTGTGTGGGTTTGCTTTGGCTGAAGGAGTTGTCTTTATCCAGGACATGCTCCTCTTGTAGTAGAAGGAAAGGAGTGCCAGTGGCCCAATTATGTGTTGGTTCAACGCTTTTGCCCAGAAATTATATATGTCACTTCCACTCACGTTTTGTCAGAAAAAATAAGACAAAAATGGCCAAGCCTGATGGTGGTGGGATGGGGAAGTATAATTATGCGTAGGAAGTGATTGAGAACCATAATACAATCTACCACAATTCTCCAACTAGTAGGTAGTTTGACTTATATGAATAGATAGTGGCTTTTATTTGCTCTCTATATGTAGAGAAATAAGTAAAACGTTTTTGGTGTCAAGTTGAATGGTGGCATGTCTATTATTACAGTAGTCTTCTCTGTAGTTGGTGATAAGGGAAAGGGAGTAATGCCAATTGAAAAACATGTAGATATGTCTGTTGGATTTTGATTATTTTTGCTAGTGGAGAATAGTATCACAAATATTTTGAAGGTGCTAATAACCAAAACATAATTTTCATTGAACTTGGGACATATTATTTTTCCTTTCCTTTCTTGGCTTTGTTTCTGAATTTATCTATCTCTTTTTAGCCTGCTAGACTTCAGATAATAGTAATTTGCTAACACTTGAGTGCTTATGCTTGGTGTGCCAAACATTGTTCTAAGCACTTAATATGTGTTAATACATTTACTTCTCACAACTCATTGAAGTAGGTGGAATGTAATATTAATCCATTTTACAGATGAAATTAAGATAGCATTTAAATAACTTGTCCAAAGGCACACAGTTAATAACTGGCATGGAAACAGATATAAAAGCCAGTGAATTATTCATTTTCTGTAGTTGAATGAAGAAATTTTGTTGTATTGAATAATGTTTGAGACAGAAGAGACCATTGGCTAGTATTTAGCAATTATCATAGTTATTTGATTTATATTAAAAAGCATTTGTCTTTCCACTAAAACATAAAGGGAATAAGGGCCTAGAGTTATATGAGTTAATAGTAATTATAGTCAAGCTGGGGTTAAAAATTTGTTGTAGATGATGCATACTTGGGGATAATTAAGAGTACCATCTAATTTTCTGTCACTTTAGAAAGGAACAAGTGGCAACTTTGTTGACTATGTGGAGAAAGCCAGATGTTCTTTACTCAGTAATACCTGTTACTTCTCTTTTTTTCCTTTTAGCACTGAACCTACCAGATGTATTTGGGTTGGTCGTCCTCCCATTGGAACTGAAACTACGGATCTTCCGACTTCTGGATGTTCGTTCCGTCTTGTCTTTGTCTGCGGTTTGTCGTGACCTCTTTACTGCTTCAAATGACCCACTCCTGTGGAGGTTTTTATATCTGCGTGATTTTCGAGGTGATTTCCGTAATGACATATTCACAAGAAAGGGCTCTTATTGTCTTGATTACTCAGCTCACCAAAAGTTTTTAGTTGTAGGATTTTTCTGTTGCAAATGATTACAATAAATAGCCTTAAAGAGACTGACTCTAAGCTTCATATACCTGTGCCTGTGTCCCTAAAACTCTCTCATTTTTGTGTTTTGCACAACACAAATCACTCATTAGACTAAGAAGATTATTTCAGGATAGAGAAATGGAAGTAAAACAGGCTTATTTTCTCACTAGAGACCATAGTCAGTATCTGACGTAGAAACGAGCTGGCATTTCTGAACTGCTTTCATGGTTGAGACCAATGTGTAAGTTAGGAGAGTTTTGTTGACCTGTTCCAAGTTGCTAGGGTAGCTTTATTTCTGTATGGTCACATTATGGTGACCTGGTAATTATTTTGGCAGTGATGATGGTAGAACTTGTGCATCAGGATTTCCTGCTACAAGGCCAAAAGCCTGATTGTGGAACTTTTTTTTCTGCTACCACCATTTTACTACATATTAGTGTTTTCAGAATGTTTGACCCTGGGGTGGGTCATGAAATCCATTTAATGGGTCATGTTACAAAAAAACAAAACCCACAATGGAAAAATCCATATTTATTTTATAAATAGTATTCCTATTTATAAAATAGGAGTAAACTTCTATTTCAATTATGTATAGGTAGGTGTATACTGTGTTGCAATGTAAAATTTTTATGTGGTTCACATAAATGTTTGAATGATACTGCTATATGTGATGTTAACACATACCACCTTAGTAACTGTAAAAATGTGGTGGGTAGATAGCTCCCTTAAAAAAAAAAAAAAAAAAAAGAATATCATGTAGAGTCATTTGGATTGCTAAAATTTTTTTTTCTTTTAAAATTTCAAAATGTGAGAAGTGTAAATGACCTGGTTTGTTCCTTTTCTTCTTCTTTGATTCCTGAGGTCCTCTTTCTGCTTTATTTATGCCCCTGAATTTGACATTTAAAATGTTATTTTGTCACAATTGGCAGCAAGAAAGCATCATCTCAAAAAATAATTCAATTTTATTTATTTGTGTATTTTTGAGACAGGGTCTAGTTGTGTTGCCCTGGAGTGCAGTGGCGCAGTCATAGCTCACTGCCACCCCCAACTCCTGGGCTCAAGTGATCCTCCCTCCTCAGCCTCATAAGTAGCTGAGAACTGTAGGCATGCGCCCCCACACCTGGCCAATTTTTGTTTGTTTGTTTGTTTGTTTTTAGTGGAGACAAAGTCTTGCAGTGTTGCTCAGGCTGGTCTCCAACTCAAAAAAGAATTGAAAATATAGTAAAAAAAGAAAAGACAGAATGACTGATGTATATGGAAGCACCGAGAAAAAGCAGAGTATGATATAAATACTTATAAAAGCAACAAATACCCTTTCACTTGTATATTCAAGTTTAGGATTAAAGCACAATTATTCTTTAATTTTTAGATTGTGGCCCACAAGCTCATTTGTAAGCTGTTCAGATTTTTCTGTAGATAAAATGTTACGGAGCTAGAGCTTTTATAAATCTTACTTCCATGCTAATGTAGTAACTTGTAGAGAAGATATCATCTTTTATTCAAACTCTTTTGTATACTTAAAGTTGAATGGGTTTCTCTTTCCTCATTTCACATATTTCAAATAAATAAGTACATTAAAAAATACTTAGTTATGGTCATGCTTCTGATAGCCGAGTCATTCAGGACATCGTTGGGAGAAAGTAGTGTAACCAGAATATGGATGAAAGCCTAAGTCAGCTTGACCTCCAGTAATGAACGTGGGCTGTAACACAGAAGCTCAGAGGTTGTTGCCCAGTTTGGTGTAACGTGAGATGTTGGATTAGAAGCAGGTGACACACCTAAATGAGATTAGGGGGAGAAGAGGTAGTGTAGGACCAGTTAATGCAGGAAGAGAGTAGCCACATGTTCCTCCATAGTCCCTGAGGAATCACACTGCATTGAATTACCATGTAGCACAGAGCAGCAATGATCACCCTTAACCATCAATAAAGTGTTTGAATTAGATAAGAAAGTACAAATGATATAGTGTGTGTTATATAAATGGTTAGTTTTTTTTTTTTTTTATGCTTAACGGGTAAGTTTCACTTTTCTTAGGAGAAAAACAAAACCCACTGTTTAATGCAGGACGAATGAAATGTTTTTAAATCCTTATTTTTCCCTTTTCCTTTGTAGACAATACTGTCAGAGTTCAAGACACAGATTGGAAAGAAGTAGGTATTTTTAAATATTAAGACTAATGTCCATAACACAGAAATGACTAGTGAATTAATATATTAAGGGTATATTTTCACTTTTATATGATGTAGTGAAATCTGTTTTAATTTATTGCTAAATTTCAGTAAATGAAAATGTTTTCAACTTTTACTTTAGACTCAATCCTTATTATAATTATATGGAAAAAAATGTTATCATTGTGTTATTTTTCATCTTTATTATAAAACATTCTTTTTTGCAACAAAATTTAAATGAGTTGTCTGTGCTGGAGTAGTCATCAGCTGTTCAGCTAGTTAAGATAGTACCTTATGAAAAGAATATATTGTATTGTTTCATAAGGTACTATTCTAATGTCTCTATAACAAAAACTGCAAGGTGGAGCAGCAAGTGCTGATGGAAAAGCTGCTGCAAGTTATCCAGAAGATGTAGCTAAAATCACTGATGAAGGTGGCTGCATTACACAACAGATTTTCAGTGTAGGTGAGACAGCTTTCTATTGGAAGAAGACGCCATCTATTTCATAGCTAGAGAGAAGTAGTCAGTGCCCAGCTTCAAAGGACAGGCTGACTCTTTTGTTAGGGGCTAATGCAGTTGGTGATTTTTGAAGCCAGTGCTTGTTGACCATTCTGAAAATCCTAGGGCCCTTAACAATTATGCTAAATCAGGCCGGGTGTGGTGGCTCACGCCTGTAATCCCAGCACTTTGGGAGGCCGAAGTGGGCGGATCACCTGAGGTCAGGAGTTGGAGACCATCTTGGCTAACACGGTGAAACCCTGTCTCTACTAAAAATACAAAAAATTAGCCGGATGTGGTGGTGTGGACCTGTAATCCCAGCTACTCAGGAGGCTGAGGCAGGAGAATCGCTTGAACCCAGGAGGTGGAGGTTGCAGTGAGCCAAGATCGCTCCATTGCACTCCAGCCCAGGAGACAGTGTGAGACTCTGTCTCAAAAAACAAACAAAAAAACAACAAAAAAAGGAATTATGCTAAATCTGTGCCTTTGCTCTGTAAATGGAACAACAAAGCCTGGATGACAGTACATCATTTATGGCATGGTTTACTGAATATTTCAAGTCCACTATTGAGGCCTACTGCTTATAAAAAATACTCCTTTTAAAATACTACTGCTCATTGACAATGCAGCCAGTCATCCCAGAGCTCTGATGGAGATGTTCAAGGAGATTAACGTTTTCATGTCAGCAAACAACTGCATTCTGAAGCTCATGGATCAAGGAATAATTTTGACTTTGAATCTTATTATTTAAGAAATACATTTTGTCAGGCCATAGTTGCCAGAGATGGTGATTCCTCTGATGGATCTGGACAAAGGAAATTGAAAACCTTTTGGAAAGGATTTAGCCTTCTAGATGCCATTAAGCATACTGAGGATTCATGGGGGAGATAAAAATATCAACAGGAGTTTGGAAGTTGATTCCAATCCTCGTGGATGACTTTGAGGGGTTCAAGACTTCAGTGGAGGAAGTGCAGATGTGATGGACCTAGCAAGAGAGCTAGAATTAGAAGTGGAGCCTGAAGATGGGACTGAATTGCTGCAGTCTCACAGTCAAACTTGAATGGATGAGAACTTGCTTCTTACGGATAAAGAGAGAAAGTGGTTTCTTTTTTTAAAAAAATGTCAATAGTTTTTGGGGTACAGGTGGTTTTTGGTTGCATAGATGAGTTCTTTAGTGGTGATTTCTGAGATTTTAGTGCACCCGTCACCCAAGCAGTGTACAACTGTACCCAATATGTAGTCTTTTAGCCGTCACCTCCCTCCCAGCCTTTCCCCCTAAGTCCCCAAAGTCCATTATGTCATTCTTATGCCTTTGCATCCTCATAGGTTAGGTCTCACAAGATTTGGTTTTCCATTCTAGAGTTACTTCACTTAAAATAATGGCCTCCAGCTGCA